>NC_000006.12:9302424-9453939 GCF_000001405.40 Homo sapiens
GCAATGATTCATATACAGACCTATCTCTTACCTGAGGCATCTAAGTAGTCACAGGCCATATTCCTCTGTTTTCACAATTTCTGCGTGATATTTTGTGAAATAAATTATTCACTGCCTGTCTTACATTATGTGTATAGTCTTAGGCTCTATCTGAAAGCTGAGCAACTAAGTTTGTTTTGCAAAATATTTGCTGGTTTGGAAAAAATAAAGGCCAAACTGTGTGCTGAAATCTTGAAATAAATGGAATTTAAGAGACTTTTTAGGTGTTTCCTAACCCCAAAATTTGAAAATATTTCCTTATAGGAAAGAAAAATTTAGATAAAGTACTATGAAATCAAACAAGATAATTCTTATATTAAAATTTATTTTGCACTTTTGGGGGAAAAAGAGTAATAAATGTATATATTTTATTTTTCTGATATAGACAAGGATAGGCTGCAGTCACAAATAAATCCCCAAATCTTGGTAGAATAAGACAATATTTGCCCGCTCCTATTGTTATCAGATGGGTCTGGTTGCTGGCCCAGGCAGCTCTCCTCTATGAGTGACGGGGATTTTGCCCTGCTTCCATTGTGGGGCTCAGCTATCACAGATACCTCTCCTTCCAGGGTTTCTTCCAGTACTTGTATTATACCCGTTTAGTCTTCCACAGAGCCAAGTTCTATTAAAAGGTTATTTATTGGAGGACATTTCAAAGCATATGGAAGAATGTGTGTTTATAAGTGTGCATGTGTGTACATGTGTTTCTGATCACATTAGATCACAGGTAGATCTACCTTATTCTTTTATAATAACTGTAAATTATTCCATGATGTAACCTATCATTGTTTTAATCTTTTTGAATCACAGACAATGCTTATATGAAGTTCCTTGAACATGTACATTTTCAAATGTATTTTTAGGTTAATTTTCTTGGTCTAATGATATGTGCATGCTAAAATTTTGTAGATATTAACTCTCTCTACAAGCAAGTTGCATCAATTAACATTCCCACCAATAATTCATGAGGTGCATATTTCCTCAAACTAGCTAGATAACACTTTGCTCCATCAAATTGCTTATGATTGATTTTAAAATGAGGTATTTACATTTTATATTTTATTACTTTTTTAAATTTTATTTTATTTTATGTTATTTTTGAGATGGAGTCTTGCTCTGTTACCCAGGTTGGAGTGCAGTGGCACAATCTCAGCTCACTGCAACCTCGTCTCCCGGGTTCAAGCGATTCTCCTGCCTCAGCCTCCCAAGCAGCTGGGACTACAGGTGCTTGCCATCACGCCCAGCTAAGTTTTACATTTTATATTTTAATTAAGGTTATAAAATTACCCTCGACTTATCATATTTTCATGGGTTCCTTAACCATTGTTCTTTTCTTAAAAATTAATCTGTGTGTCTATGTGGTTTGCTTATTTTTCCTTTAAGTAATTCGGCCTTTTATTATCATGTTGCTTACCCAGTATATGTATGTTCTCCCTCTTATTCTACAAACACACACACACACACACACACACACACACACACAAAATAGAATAATTTCATTTGATTGTTTATTGATTAATGATTTATACATGACCTTTATCAAAGATGAGTGCTAACCTTTTTATACCCTTTGTATAACATTTTGTTCTCTTTTTTTTTTGAGTCAGAGTCTCGTTCTATCATGCAGTGACATGATCTCAGCTCACTGCAACCTCCACCTCCCGAGTTCAAGCAATTCTCCTGCCTCAGCCTCCCGAGTAGCTGGGATTACAGGCATGCACCACCATGCCTGGCTAATTTTCGTATTTTAGTAGAGATGGAGTTTTGCCAGGTTGGCCAGACTGGACTCGAACTCCTAACTTCAAGTGGTCCACCTGCCTCAGCCTCCCAAAGTGCTAGGATCACAGGCGTGAGCCACCGTGCCTGTCCCATTTCTTGTTTTAAATATGATTTTGCTTTTGGTTTTCTAATTTATAAAAATGTTTAACTGTTATAATTTATCAATATTTTCACGCTGTGTGATTAGAAGAGTATGACCTTGCTAAAACATGCTTTCTTGCCCCAAGTTTATTCTTTGAGTAATGTGTTTTCTTCTAGTACGTTTATTAGTTGATGTGTTATTTTCAAATCAACTTCAGAGACATTAGAATTGTACTATAGAACAAGGAAATAATGGGATTCATCTTTTCATAACTAATTTTAAGGCAACTTTTATTATATTAAACATATATTCATTTGCACTTGAGTCTGTCTTGACTTTCTGTTCTTCCCAACAAACTATTCGTTTACTGGCACTAAATTGTTATGTTTATTATAGTGCTACTTTAATGTTTGGTAAATGAGCTCACTAATCTGACCAATATTTGTAGACTATAACGTTTTTGTTACAATTTGAACTTTCACTTGATTTAGCCAAAAGCAAACACTAAGGATTATTTTATTTAAAATATTCAATTTACACATTAAATCAGGAATATTGTCATTAGAATAAAAAATTGTTCAATTACACATTTTATGTTAAAACCGTAGAAGTAATTTTAAAATATATCATATTTCATGAAATCTGAATGTAAACTTTACGAAAGACTTATACACATGCAAATGTTATTGCATTTTTCTGCTCTAGTGTCCTATAAATATAAACATATTTATTTTTAAAGTCAGCTTCCTTTCTATTTCTTCAAAGTATTTTATAATCTCTTTAATAATTGATTTTTTAAAACTCTCATAAATATATCAAATGATTCTTCCTATTTTCATTCTCTTGTGATAACATATAAAATTTTCTGTCCTTAAGATGGATCGTTGTTTTCCTTTTCAGATTTTAAAACACTTGTATTTCTCTAAATTATATCTTTAGTTGGGTATTTCATGAACAAACACATCTTTCAATGGACTTTATTAAAGATTTTTCAACAAATCCTGTCTTCTCTGGTAAGCGCTCTTTGATAAGGTTCCCACTGAGTAAAAAGACACTTCATTCTTATTTCTCAGGAAGCCTCCTTTTTTTCCCCCTAGCTCTCCAAGTCCTCTTTGTAGAAATTCTCTTTGCCATTTTTATCTTTTTCTTCTTTCTTTACCTCTTTTACTCATTATCATCATCCAGTAATGAAATAATTATGGGCTGAGCACTTGATGCTACAAAGTGAATTCTTCACTTTAGGATTTTTTTCCAAAAATAAGTAAGGAAAAATAAAAATGCTATAGATTTTCTTTTTCTCTTCTATAGATTTCTTATAAGCATAAGGAGAAAAAACAATTATGATGATAATATAAAAATACATAGAATGAATGACATTTTTACAAAGAGGACTTTTCCATGATATGTGTGGAATCAACATTGCCAGCTTCAATATTCCTAGGAACATAACGACAAAGCTTTGCAGTTGAACATCTGTAGTTGATGCTGTGTGTGCTGTAAGTGCTTCCCGCTCCAGCTACTATGATAGTTGACTGCTAATAACTCACAGCCACGCCACTCTCATTGGGAGACCATGCCCCCTCACTTCCCTTCTCCTTCCTAGAGCTAAAGAGCTAAAGACTTAATTGGCCTAATTATAAGAGCTGCATGCCCCCCTTGTCTTAAGGCTGGACTAATTCTGGGTGAAAATTTAGCTTCAGAGCTTCCCATAGGATCAGTCTGAAGCTGCAGTACTGCTGAGGGTATATTCTCGCTAGCCTTCTTGCCTTCTCAATGCTGCTACCCCGAATCCACTTCTGAAACCATTCCCCTATTCAATCACATGCATGCAAGGGAAATTATGTTACTTTTGAGTCGCCCAGTGAACCCATGCCCTCTTGTATTCAGACCCTGTGTAGTTTCCACCTACTTTGACTTTGAGCTTGCCCTATGTCTAACTTTGGCTCATGGGATATTAGCAAGCATAATGCAGAGGCTTGATGAGTCCTCAGGCATTGGAATGTGTCTTCTTTGAACGCTTCTTTTTGTGACCTGTTGTTTGCCCAGAGAAGCCCAAACCACATGAAGGAGTCACATGGAAGAGAGATGAGGCTTTCTCAAAAATTTCAAGTTAACTGGCTACAGCCAGCCGGCACTAACTGCCAACCAAGTTCAGGAGCCATCTTGGAGTTCAAGTCCAGTCAAGTGACATCATAGGAACCAGAAATCCATCCAGCTAAGCCCAGACAACCCAGAAAATTATGAAATATTAAAATGGTAATCGTTTGAAGTCACTGAGCTTAAAATGTATTTGTTACATAGCAATAGATAACTGAAAAAAAAAATCGCGATTTAAGAAATCCTGGCCAGGTGTGGTGGCTCACGCCTGTAATCCCAGCACTTTGGGAGGCCGAGGTGGTCAGATCACGAGGTCAGGAGATTGAGACCATCTTGGCTAACACGGTGAAACCCGTCTCTACTAAAAATATAAAAAATTAGCTGGGTGTGGTGGCTGGCGCCTGTAGTCCCAGCTACTCGGGAGGCTGAGGCAGGAGAATGGCCGGAACCCTGGAGGCGGAGCTTGCAGTGAGCCGAGATCACGCCACTGCACTTCAGCCACTCGCTCTGATGGGGTCAGAGCGAGACCCCATCTCAAAAAACAACAACAACAACAACAAAAAAATAATAAGAAAAGAAAAGAAAATCCTAGAACAAATGAAGGAAATGAATGAATGAAGTGGAATATTTTCTTCATGCTGTGGTACATTCTGGACAATTGCTCCTGCCTTACCTACATTAAATCCTCCCAATCACCAGAATTCCTGTGTGTTCCTGTCTCTTTTATACAGAGCAGGAGGATAGCTGTCTCAGTTTCTCCTTGCATTGTTGCTTACTTGTCAATTCACTGAGTGATGGCAGATTCTGTCAGTGCATTTTCACATTTAGTTTCTACAATTTGAAATTACTTTATTTTAGTTTTATTTTAAGCATTTCTGCCTGATTTCTCACTGATTCAGTGAGCAGTAAGTCATACTGTTGGCAATGGAAAGTGGTTATCCAGTGAAAGTTTCCTACTGTCTGCTATTATTAGGACTTGTTCAGCTCTAATTTTGAAATGGCACTTGCTGGCCTTATCTTTATATTTGGTTATATTAATAAAACAAAAGCTTGACACGTGGACATATCTATATTTTTATTACATTGATCTTAAATTGTTTTTCTGAGTTATGCAATCATTTTTATTCCTACGGTTTTGTAAGACAGGAATTGCGAGCCAGTCATATTTATATTTCCTTTTTCTCAAGGAAGTAGTAAGAAAAAATCCATTCCAATATATTAACAATTCTCATCAATTTCTGGATCTGCATAAAACACATTTTAATACACAAATATATTTATAACTATATATCTATAGTTCATAAATGTGCATGTGTGTATACATGTGCATATATAAATCTATATAATTAAACAAATAAATATTGAGGCAGATAAGCATACTTTTTCTATTGTATATAGTATTTTTAAATTTTCTAAAATCAACACTGTTATAGCTAAATGTATGTAATATGTCACCCACATTTGGGAGGTGAATATAGCCTAAGGAACTCCGGTAACAGCACACATTTCTAACCCACATGTCTAAGTAATGAACAACAAATAATCACAGTAAAATTGTTCTGCAAGCATTAACTTGTACAAAAGGCACAACCCTACTTAGGAACAAAGACTGCGCTGTGAAATCCTTTTTTAAACAGGAGCTGAAGTAGTAAACAAGTCTTTAGACATATTTTTTCCCTCAGACAAAGCTTCTGTTGCCACATTATCTTGTCAACCCACATGAGGTTTAGATAGATCAATACTTATATAGGTAACTTCTAAGGAACACCTGGCCTTCCAGAAGGTGACATGTTAATTAAATAGATAGCATTCTTTTTCTTAATGTACAATTGCTTAAATGTAGGTACTTCTTTCAGATTCTTTCGTCTCTCTTTTAATATTTTGTGAGCTTGAGGGCTAAAGGGAGCCAAGAAACCTGATAAAAAGTAATAATTTTGGAGATATTACTAATGACATTTGGGCTAAAGAAAAAGAGAAAATGCAAATTTTTCCTTTGATCTCGTTTGGCCTCTCTGCATTCCTAGCTCACCAAGTAAGTATGCTGTGTGCTTCTGAGTGTTAAAACAGACATTTCGTAACTTAATTTGCTTTTGGAAAATATGAAGAAAGACCTTATCTAATAACTAGAGTCCTTCTTTAGTGATTTCCTAAGCCAGAACATCAGATCTGGCCAGTTTATAGATCTTCAGGATTGGAACAGTCTAGAATTAGTAACCACAGCCATAACGTGAAAAAAATCACCTTTACTCTAACCAGGAGGAGTTAACTGTCCTTGTCTGCAGAATCAGTCAAGGAAAGGGGCCTGATCTTTAACAAATTATTGATGAAATAAGTTTTGTAGCAGGCATGATTGATTGATAGAGATTTTAGAAATAGTGCACACTTCTTGGGTCTTTGTCCATTTATTTCATAGTTAGTTGTAATCATTATTTAAACTCAAAGCTAATTTTATCCCAGATACACTGTAAACAGTTATTTCTAAGGGTGAAAGTAACTTATTTGGTTTCCTACACATGCTTTACCTTTGGTTTTTGACCTTTTCCTTCCTCCACTCATAGGCAATAAATGATAAAGATATAAAAATAGAAGGTAAAAGTTAGCTGTCTATATGTTCTTCATCATTAGGCATATTGACCTTATTAATTTGTTTCTGTCTTTATACTTTATTACTTTTGAAAATTTACGTGTACAACCTAGATTTTATGATTATATACTGGGTTCTTAGTCATTTACTTTCATCATTTCAAAACTGATGTTGAATCACATTAATGTCCTTTTAAAAGAAATTCAGTGTTATTTTTATTCCAAATAAAATGTGTGACATAATTTTTAGAGAAGAAAATAACATTTACTTTCATCATATGCAAAGAATACATATTTATGACATGTGTACTGCTTATATACCAGAGACATATTCTGTAACTCAGTATATATGTAATTGATAATATATTTTTTATTTATATATTTGTAAGTGCATATATGAATACCTTTTCATTTTATATATAGAAATATATTACTTTTGTAAACAGAGACAATATAGCTCAATCTATCACTAAATATATATAATCCAAGCATACTTATGTATTCCTGATATCAGAAGATGAAGTTTTATATATTACACAAATTATAGTTTCTATTATTAGCCTAAAAATTAACTTTGTGCTCTCAAAGAAACATTTTAAAGAAATTATATTTGGGAAAAAAAGCTGTTTTTCATCTTAAACTGGAAATGTTTGACTCTACTAAAATTCAGCTTTATCATTTCTAGTATTTTGAAACTTAAATAACAATTCTATACCCTTGAATATAATCGAAATATCATTCACTTTTGTTGTGATTTATGGGCATCAGACATCAAAGCTTTAGATGATATCAGTAGGGAGACTGTGATGTGGCATTTAAGAAGAAATAAACCTAGAAACAAAATTGGATTAAGATTAAAAACAATGTTTAAGTTTATTGACTGTCTTCAACTAATTTTAAACTATTTGTGGCTCAGTAAAATTTAAATATACTTGTTTTTGCCCTGTCACTTTTTTAATATTATTTGTATTTTTAGGCAAACATCTTTTTTAAATTAACTATATTAATCCATTATTAATTATTGTTTATCATTACTTAATTTCTAAGAAGGTAGCTCTTAGAGAAGACAATGTCCTTTGTGATCTCATATATTTTTTACCACGGAAATAAAAATAAAAACATTATTTGTAATTATATAATCTAAAGAACATAAAATTTGAAGTCACAATTGATGTTGAATAACATTGATGCTACATAGTAAATTAAAAATCCTGAAAACTGTACTTAAACTTTCTGATGTTCTCATCTACAATAACAACAAAATCCCCAAATGTTTATAAGAGTATATAGTACATGTCCAAAAATGTTCTTTTTCTTTTTTTCATTCTTGAAAACTACCATCACTATTTGGTTTCATAGGACAGAAATGACTTTCATTTGCATTTTTAATTGGCAAATTTGTATTATAATCCTTGAAATTCAAATAAGTAATAAAATAATTGTCACTTTTTTAAATATGCAAGAAGTTATAAATGAGTTTTACTTATTATTAATCACTAATAATTGATGATAGCAAATTGAAAGTGTGTGATAAATAAAGATTTAAAACAATAATATTCTGTTAGAATGGGTAGGAGGAGATATACACTCATGAAATACTAATGAAAGCTTTTATTTGTATGACTCTTCCAGAAAATAGTTCATCAGTAAGTAATCATAACCTTCAAAGAGTTTATATCCTTTATCTCTCCAACTGAATCCAGCATAATTCTACTTCTAGGAATCTCTCTTAATAAAATAATTAAACATACAGTATAGACATTGGATTCTTTACAAAGATATTTATTACTACTTTGCTTATTATGCCCAAAATATATAAACAAAAATTCTGTAACATAATTGAATTTTTAATATAAGTGATGGTCCATCTCTATGTCAAACATTTACATAGCCCATAAAATCTTTTCCAAAAAGAAAAAGAAAAAAATGCTCATGGTATGTGTCAAGTTGAAAAGGAAAGAAGTGAGCAAAATTACATACATGTAAAGAACTCATATATATTTGTTCCACCATCCAAAAAGAAAATAATCAAAACCACTGTAGTCACTGATTTTTTCTCCATTAATACATGCTAATTCAATTAGCATTTGAAATAAACTCTTCTTCTCTTAAACTCCATATACTATTTAAAAAAAATCTAACTTTCTGTTTGTTTGTTTGGTTTGTTTATGTTTTTAACTGTGAATCATTTCCAGCCAATACTAGATATAGCAAACTCTACGAAGGTCTTCTAACCTTCATTATAGAGGCACACAGAAATTATCTTGTTAATACTTCTTTGAAAGCCTGGTGGCAGTTATTCCTCTTCCAAAACTGGGCAGTCCCTTCTTAAGGACAGAAAGTCAGTTTAGTTCTCCTAATTACAAAGTCTCTGCAATTGCTTATTCACCTAAAGTAATATGTGAGTTTGAGGTTTTAGTAGTCCCTTGATTCCATATATCATGTCTTTTTTTATTATTGTGTTTCTATTGTCTAAGACAATATTCTTAGCACATATTAAGCATTCAATATTATTAAGGTGTTGACCCCAAAATGTTATGTCTTCTCCATTCCAACCTTTTGAGAAGAAGGAAATTCAGCTAATCATGTATGTATCCAGCATTAAAAGAGAAACACTCAAATGAGCATAATCATTTTTATAACTATAGATTTAGTTTTCTTAGCTATAAATGAAGAACAGCACCTAGTTCTTTTTACTTTAGGATAGAGGTCCTGTAATAATTTAGGTATATAGAAAATTGAGGTGCACTCAGAAATTTTGATTCTTGGTAAGTCTTGAATTGAAAGGGAAAAACCCTACATTTTAAGCACACAATTAATATGACTATGATGTAGGTATTTTGGGCTGCATTCTTTAACAATGTCACCTCAGAAGAATCTGATGTGGATTGATTTAAAAATATACAAAAATGCTCTGAAAACTCAGAACACAGAAAATCCCTATATATGCTGGTATTTCTATTTGAAAATAGAAATTTCTTTCTAATAATGCTCTGAAAGATAAATATATTTCAGTGATAAATTCATAAAATGGGCCTTGTTATGTATTATATAAATTTTTAAAATATAAATTGTATATTATTTGAGCAACTGCATTTTGTTAGAGTTTCCCATATATTGTCTTAGGTAGCTTCTTTATTATCTGTGGAAGATTTAGTTGCACTTACTTTGAATTGAACAGTAAATGTTATAGAAATTCTGTTGCTTCAAATAGTTACTATTTGTTGACATCTCCTACTTTCAATCTTTCCTTATTCCTTTCATCTCTGGTTGGAAGACATTGGGAGCCTCTTTATTTTAAATATTGCTGAACACTAGAATCATCTAAGGAACTTTTACAAATCTTGATGCCCAAGTGGCACCCCATAGAAATTAAATCAGAATATCTTGGAGTTACCCATCAGTATTTTTGCAAGACCTTCTGGTGATTTTAACATGCAGCCTATTTTGGGAAACATTCTTCCAAGGAACCTGTGAATAAAGGAGCTTTGCATCTGAGAAGGAGGCCTCAGCATGTGGGTGATATCAGGAAGGGCTAACCAAGTTTTTATTTGATGAAATATGCTTTTCCCAGCTTCCCCAAGACAGATCGTCATTCTCCATTGTATCTGACATAGAGGCCAGAAGGTAAAAAAATTGTCGTGTTCATTAGTGAGCACAAATACAGTCTAAATCCATCCCTGATCATTTTCAAGTTATTTACAAATTTGTATTTCTCATCATATATCTGGCAGAAAATCAAGAACCAATTTTCTTAACTCTAAAGAAATGTCTGCATCTTTATCAAAGCTATAGCTTAACTTAAACTATAGCATTGATATATTGATATAGTTGATAATATATTAAAATTATTCTAGATCCTGTTAGAAAGGGCGTTTTCTATAGTTACTAATATTAGGTTGGTATTAAAATATTCTATTAAACATTAATGATTGGAGAAGAAAAAATAAATCATTTAGTTATTGTCTATACAGCCTGTGTGACTTCCAGCAAGTCTCAACATTCAGACTGATCTTTTCTATAATGGGATAATGCCTAACTAAAGGGATACTCTAAAGTTTTACCTATGAGAACCTTGGCGATGGTGCTTAGTGGTTATGTTTAAAAATGTGTGTTTCCTTCTCCTTCCAACTATTAAATATAGATATTGTCCCAAGGATTTGTCCTTAACCATCTTTTCTCCAGTTATTTTCTCTGCTTTAACAACCGGATTTAACATTATGGCTTCATGGAGCCTTGAAACCGATGACAACTCCAGGCTCACCACTTCCCGGGTACCAATCCTACCCTTTCCCCTGTGTGTGCAAATCTCAGCATGTGAAGGTCTTTCATGGGTAACATTTCCCACATGAGCTCTTTCTTTATCCCACCCAGTAGTGCTTCTGTGATTTTTAATTCTGATAATGACCTTCTCACCTTTCTAGTGACTCAGTTTTAAAATATTGGCCTTTCTTGGGGCTCCTCTCTTCCTTTGCTTACTTCTAAAATTTACCAGCTCCTTTCTAGCCCTCTCCTCTGCAGCTTCTCTTATTTCCCTGGAATTTGCCCAACTGGGCCATATGCGGGAATCACATCCAACCAGGATACATGAGAAAGAGCTATCACTGGCAAGGAAAGCATCTAACAAAATTATTAGTATAGGCAGAGAATGTGTATTAATGAATGCAATACTAATTAAAGTTCTTCTGGGCTGGCAGATAAAGTTGACTAAGACATGCCTCTGTCTTTGGGGAGAAAGGAAGAAAAAATAGATGGACATAAATAAAGATAAAAATAGTAATAAAATTAACAAAAGGAAGAAGAACAGACAGGCCAGTACGTGCATTATCTCCTTTAATCTTTATGATAATCCTGTGAGGTAGGAATGGTGAAATTAGGCTCAGGGAATTTGAGTAATCTGCTGAAGATCACAAGGCCAAGTGTCAAAGTGAGTATTTAAATAACAGGTTATATTTCTTAGTACAGAAACTGCAAGTTAATATCTACATTCTAGGCAAATCTTTACATGTATTTATTGAGCACAGATTCTATGAAAACTCTGTGCAATGTTTGATATAGTCTCTATAACAAATAATTTAAAATAACGGTGTAAGCAATGAAACGAGAGAATGAAGCTGTTACTAATGATTCTTCACAGATTATGGTTGCAAGGGTCAAATCCTATTCTTAGTGCTTCCTGACAAATAACTTCTCTTAAATAAATACATACCTACTTCAGAACACTGACTGATTAGGAAGAAAGGGGTCTTAGTTTCTTTTCTCTAATCTATCACTAATCTGGTGCATGACTTCCACTGAGTCAGAAATTAAATGGTCTTTTATTCCATTACCTTTAAAAATGGACAAACAAAACTGGCTGACCTATTCTATTGCATGATGTCTCAGCTCATTTATGAAGACAACTTCAATAAAAAATAATGCAGGAGTTATAATAATGTTATAGAATATGACATGCTATAGAATATGACATGTTATAGAATATGACATATAGAATATGACATAATAAAATATTGAATTTTAATATGAAATTAAAATGTAATTTGCCCTACGATAGAATGGTAATCTTACAGTTGACTTTAAAAATCGAATCTACTCCTATCCCTTCATTTAAAGAATGAGAAATCGGGTCCACAGAAATGAAGTGACCAGCCCAGGCTCACAAAGCTAGTCAATGTCACAAAAACTGGACTTGCTGAGGCTCAAGTCAGCATTTTTTTTTTTTTGCCAGCTTATTTCTCTCCTGCTAGATTCCTAATCATGCCCATGGGACCTCATAAAATGAGCACTGGGAGATTTTCAAAATAGGCAGGATTCTAGGATCCACGCTGGGATCGTGCCTAAAAAAATGAACTGTTTCCTGAAAAACAAATAGGGTGCAAAAAATGAAAGGGAATCTGTCCAAAAGATCACATTTGGAGTCCCAAACTCCTACTCAGATCATTATCAAACCCCTTAGGATTCTTTTGCCTGTACATGACAGTCACATGTTTAATTCATGTAAAAAATTAGTAAATATATTAGAGAAAGTCTCATCCAAGTATCAAGAATGCACAGCTCTATTTGATTAAAGCAGAAATTCTTTTTCTACAAAAAGTGTAATTATGACACCAAATGTCTTCACAAACACCATATATTTTCATGTCAATTTTCTACTCTATGCAATAAAAAATAAAACTGGAGTGAATATGAACTATGAGGCAGTTTGAGACTTTACTTATGGAACAAGTCTTCATTTCCATTGTTGTTTTCCACCTCTGTTCCACTTTTTAAAAGAATTCTTTCTGGTAGTTACATATAGTTAGGTACTGATAAGCTAGTATGAGATTAAAATCTAAAAATGTAAGACAAATACATTTTTCCAACCTTCCAGTTAGGAAGAGTGTATGTTTTTTCTTCCTTTCCCTTGATTTCAGTAAACACGGTGTTATGTTAAGAACGCAAAAAAGAACTCAATCTCGAAATCACTTTATTATCTATAGTTAAATATACAAAATATGATGTTGGAAAAAGTAAAGAAGAAATATTCTGCTAGTTCATCATGTATATGTATATATGTATATATGAATTCATGTATAAGTAATACCAATATATGAGTATTATTTCCCTTTGAATTATTAACCTTCCAACAATAGTTACTTTGTTTTTACATGTGTCAAAGTGCTTTTATGTGCATTATCCTATAATTTGGAGTCTCTGTCAGCTCTTCAGAGACATTTTTTTTCAGCCTCTAATCTCTTTTAACTAATCTGCTCTTTCTCTGACTCACCTAATTCCTAAACTTTTTCATGTGCTCTCATCATATATTAGGAAGTGTTATGGTATATATATTATGCCCTGTTTACCAACATTTTTATGTAAGCAGCTTAATTACAATTCTGGGCTATTGTGAAAAGGATGATCATGCAGTTTTTTGTTTGTTTTTGTTTTGGCTTTCTGTATTTAAAAATACATAGAAAATATTGTATAATAAAAGTAAATCAATTAGTCCTTGATATTGCTTCTGGAACTTTGTAAGAAGTTTCTCAGGCAAAAGTGTGGTAATATTTTGTTTGAAATATGACCAAGTCTTATGCAAAATTTGGTCCTCCAGTTTTGTTTCAGAATTAAAAAGGGCAGTTTTAGAATTTCTAATGGAAATATGCTGACTTTTCTTTATTTTTGAAATTGCATTATTCTTTGATTTCTGTCATTCCCACTACTCTCAAAATTATCATCCTTTGAAAACTGTGGGTGGGCGGTTGGGCAGCTGATTTGCATTTTAGAAAACCTTGTGTTTTCTTAGCTGTGCTTTAGGCCTATGGGCTTTGAAGTTATTTCCAATGGTCTCTTACTAGTGTAAAAGTTTGGTCTCCTGTTAAATTGCCACCTGTGCTAAGGAAAGCTAATCCATTAGGGTTGAACGGCTCTAAGAAGGTGCCATGGCGCCTGGGGCAACCTCTTGAGTTTCAGCTCTAGCAGCTGCTGGGAGATGTGTTTGGGATGGTCCTTGTTACAGAAATTAGATGGATCAGGAAGTAAACAGAGGCATCTTTCATCTGACCCAGCTCTAAGACAAGAGGGTGGGGCCTGGGGGAATTCCTCTTCTAATTATTTTACGGGTCAGTTCTCTGAGACTTATGTCAATGTCTGACACTCCTAACTCTTAGGGGGAATTTTTGAAAAAAAAATCATAAGCCATTGAAGCTGTTGAATTTTTCCTTCTGAAAATATCCTATCCCCTGCATTTGCAGGATTGCTGACCACTGGGTGGGTCTTGCCCTTCTTCCAAGGGGAGTGATTGGAAATGGGAAATTAGAGGTGCAGCTTTCCTCACCTGGAAACTTTCTCCTAAATTTTAAGGGTGTCCCCTCATTTATAGTCCCTTATTTATTTTAGATTTTTATATTGAACTTCATTTCTTTCGATGACTTGGGGCAAGTTCCAACTGCTGTGTTCCTGTTGGTTTCATCATTTTTCAGAGTTAATCTCTCAAACAACATTTCATCCAGTTGAGCAGCTGCCCAAGTCTTTCCTGAGCAAAGCTGGTGGCATGCAATCCTGTGTCTGTTGCTAATTTGTGACTGCAAGGTTTGAGAAGGGGTAACTAGAGAATTGGAAAGTAGCTGGACTTGCCTGAGCTAAAAGAAAAATTCAAGAACCATTTCAGGCAGAGAATTCCCAACTTCCAATTTCTCATTTGCTGTAATATCAAGTATATGTTTACGTCTACGTGATAGGTTATCCTTTTCTTTTCTTTTTTCCACAGGGAGACATTAACATTTTTAACAACACAAAAATTGTCTTTGTTCCATTTAAGTCAAAATTTTTCTCCTTCTTTACAGCACATAGTTTCCTTAAAGAAACTGTTAAAAAATTAAGATAAGCCAATAAAAGACACATTTTAATATTCTTAAATACGGTTTTATAATCATTTTTTTCAGAAAGATATAAATATATTTCCAAAATAAGAGCATAGGTACATATTATATCAAAACTACATTTTTATTAGCAGTAATATAAATATTTTAATAGTCAATAAATTTTCATTTTATAGATGACTGTTCCATAATATTCTGAACATTGTTTTCTGTGTAATTTCCTCCAGGGCAACAAAATAAGTTATTTTTATGCTTTGGTTTAAAATTACTGAAAAAAAAATAAAGTAACGATGATGATGATTAAATAATCTTTTGCTTGGTTGTTTACTTTCTAAACTTTATATTTAATTATTTTATTTTTTCATATATCATTTTTAGGTCAGAGATGTAAAAATTTTTTAAATTTGATATTAATGAGATTAAGAAAGGGAAAACACTCTAAACTAAAATAAATGTCTACTTCCAATAGCAAAATGACCTCAGAGATTTTCTGAATCAACGTTATAGAACAATCCCCACTGGAGGCTATGGGATTGGTTACAAATTTTGTTTTCTGTAACAGTGAAATCTTATTTGCTAGGCATGTTAGCTTTTGCAAATTAAAATATAAATTTTTAAATGCTGCAAAATACTTGTTTTAAAAGACAAGTAGACAGTTTCAGAAACTACAGAATTTTTTAGTCCAAAATTCCTTGAAAGGCCACAGGCGCCCTTTAAGAGATTGATTTCTGGGACTTTTAAGGCTTACAGCTTACCAACCTCTACCTAAGTGACTTAAAATTGTCAAATAAATGAAACTCCATTTCTTTCAGTTTGGAGTAAATATTCAGTTGATTTCAAGGCCCAACTCTATAGGCAGTCTCTTCCCCTGGCTCCCTCCCTGGGTATTCTTGAAATTCAGGCATATTCATAGCTTCCACCAAGGAACCCTGCTCCCTGGCCTGTCCTCTGGGTAATGATGCTCCTGTTGCACTAGGTCCTGGTCACCCCTTTCTATGTTTAATAAGGAGTGGCTGGCCCAGTTGGAATTCTGGGGTCTTATGCTGACACCTAATGATGCTGATCATGATTCCTTCCGTGATGTCTTATTCAAGGAATCTTCTCTGCCCAATTTCAGGCATCTTCTGTGTCTCTCAGCACATCCATGTCCAATGACCAAATCACATGGAATTCCTAGACTTCCCTCCATGTGTCTAAATGGTCATTTTGGGTCAAGATGTTAGAGGACTCTCTCATCTCTGATGCTCTACAGCTTCCATTTGATGCTGAGTGCAGGATTTCTCTGAGGCTTATAGACATCCCAGATAAACTTCAGAAATGGGTAACTAGAACTTGTGTGCTTGTGTTTCTCCATATCCGTCATCTTGCCTCTCCACGTCTCAGGGGAAGGTTGTGGCTCCATTTGATTTGGGCTCTGCCCCTGTACTTTCCCCCTCCCAAACCTCTCTCCAAGATTCTCCTAGTACCAGGAGTTACTTTCCCTTTTGTATTTGGAAGGGACTTCCCGTACTTTATGCTCTTCTTCCTCAATACCATGACTTAGAGGAAAGCCTTATGTTCAGATTATCGAGGTTTTCTTTTTACATAGAGAGGAAGCAGACCTGGGAAAGTAAAACAGCTTTTTTTTCTTTCAAGAATCTCAGGTTTTAAAGACTAAAATTCTATTAATGATTTTACATCTTTAGTTCTGAGCTCAAAGCTGAGTATTAATGTCTTGTTTTAGGTGGTGTGTGGCTTCCCACTGAAGCAATAAATGTTATTAATTCAGTGAGGGGGAGAGATGATGGCCTAAGACATGGAGCAGTGAGTCTTAGCACAGGTTCCCAAGCAAGCGGACCTCAACCTGGTGACAGAATCAGGGACCCCTTCCACCACCACCCCGAGTCTCCAAAAACTTGCTATTAGCCCAGATGTGAACATGGAAGAAGAACAACCATGGAGGCCTGGGGGGAAGTGGGACTAATAAGGAATTTGAAATTTAAATTGCCTTAATATTACTTTAATATAAAAGACTCGTTAAAGCCAGAGACTACATAAGGGCGACTGGCAAGAGTAAGTGTCCTCCCTCTCAAATGGTCATCTCCTCCTTCCTAAGATGACATTTGAGGGTCAAGTAAATAAAGGAGACATTTCTACTTTTGCGTAATACAATCTGTGTGTAATAAAGTTGGAATTAGGAACACACTTAATAGAGTTTACATGCTTAATAGATTTCTAGGTGCAAGATATGTGCTCAAAACTTACAACACTTATCATTTGGGTATGATCCCTTTTAAATGCTTATCTTTAAACCATAATCACCATCTGTTAAGCCTTGAAGCATCTGCATCTTTAGCTCTCAGGTTACAAAACTATGTATTATGATTATTTTTAAAAATATATTTTCATTTATGATATCATGGGCATTTTTGTCTTTCAATAATTATTTCATAATATAAATATTTGTAATGGCTAGATCATAGATTCTTGAAGGAATATGCTTTAATCTAGCCTTAATGTTGTAGAGATTGCTAACTCTCCCTTAATACTTGTAACAGAAGCCTGCAAGTTTTAGCTGACTTATAGAAGTGCCCAGCTACAGACTAAACATACACACACACAAAAATACACACACACCGATACACACATACAGACATAGATTCACAGAGTCATATCTGCATAGACACACACAGAGATACACACACAGTCATAGAAAACAGGACTAGAAAAACCTAAACCAATAATTTTGCAGTGGTCATCTCTTTGGAGAAGTATTGAAGCTTTTTTATTTGTTCCTTTCTTTTGTTTTACTTAGTTACATTTGGTATTTATTTGGAAGTTTAATTTTGGTGTGTGATTAAAAAGCATTATATCTTAAAGACATCACTAATGAACATTTTAAAGTATCTAATGGCAAATTATCACTATTCTCTGTTGTAATTTTCATCAGTGGAATGGAAATAACTGATGGGATCAGATAAAGAAAATAGGCAATTCCTTAATGGGGTAAATTGTACTTCCTACAGCATATTTGTGTAGGGCTGGGCTGAGAGGTTATATGGGATACTGAAGAAAACATGGCAATTCTCTGATAAAACCTGATGACTCAAGAAAAGATTTTGTCATAAGATGTCCTTAACTTCTGCTATAAGTAATGCATGCAGAGCCTTTGACATTTGCTCAATCTGTTTTTAGAAGGTAACAGAATATTCTGATATAAATGGATTCTGAAAATATTCACCCAACTGGGAGAGACAAAAGACTAAATTTTAGGCAGTCTTTTCAACGACTTTATGTATGTATACATAGATTAACAATGCCAATGCCAACAGTTTTCTTCTATATTGCTAATTTTCTTCACTGGTTGAAATGAAATTTGGTGTCAGTATTATCGGAATTTAATAATTAATGAATATTGTTATTTTATTCCTGGAAAGATTATGCATTCACTTTAACAGAGAAACATTTATTCTCTTTGATTATGACGGTGCTCATCAATTTTTCATTTCTCTCATAAGTGCTCATGATAAGGATAATGAAGTTGAGATGGGCAATTCATCAGCTCCTGATGAAGATTTGTTGAGGACTTCTGTTTTTCCAGAACTTTGCCCTCATTTATCCAGTGCAACACTGATATTAATCCCTTTCCTTGCCTTAAATTTTTCTTCCTCTTTTAGAGGTTGATAAATGAGATAATGTACATAAAAGTGCTTCGTAAACTCTGAAGTGCCACACAAATGTAAGGCATTATTATTTAAAATTATGATGTATGCTTGCCATTTAAAATGGTGCTTTTTGTTTAATAATGATGTCTAGTTCTTCTCAATTGCTTGGAGGATCAACCAAAATGGCTCATTGATTGGTAAATTAATGCTACAGTCTTCCTTTTGTATGGGCTTCCGAGATGATCATTATTTCTGTCTTGAGGATTTCATGCATTTTAGAAAGGAGAGAAACATGGCTTTTTAACATTTCATGACTCTACTCTGCCAGATAAACAGCACTCCTGTTGGATGCGCTCTGTATCCCATTCTATTCTTTTTCTTTTTTAATCTTGTTGACACTAGTGAACATTGAAATGCTCTTCACAATCTCATCACTGAAGGAAACTTTATCTTATGGACCCCTGATCCCTAACAGTGTCTTGGATTTCACCTTTTCTTTTTTTTTGTTAAAACAAATAATGTTTTAGTGTTAGCAGTAAATAGAATCTATATTTAACTTGATTTTCTCCATGCTCCAAAATTTCCTCTCTTTGATGCCCTTAGATATTACGAATGAATTTGTCTTCTGAACATCTTGAGTTGGATCCTGTGGAATCACTACTAAACAAACTCATTTACACTCTCATTTTATAAAGTTTGAATTACCTATTCTAATTTCCCTGCAACAGTTATTCTCGACCAACCTATTATAATTCGTATATGTGTTCTAAGCCCTTGACAAATGGGCCAGTAATGGGAAGTGTTTTGGGGGAAATACTTAAACTTAAGTATTTATTTTGTCAGGATACTGTTTGTGAGAAAGAGAACCTAATGGAATGATTTCTGCGAAGTAAAGAACAGCAGAATTCAACTGTTGTTTTTTGTAAGCAAGTGGTAAGAGGCTTAGTTTCAGTCTAAAGGAAAGCTGGTAGCAAAGAAAGATTCTGATATTTACCAAAAAGTTGTCGGAATGTTCCTTGTGAGTATAACAAAACACGTAAAGGCAGAAATTATTCTATGCATAACCAATATGGCTCTGAAATAGAGAATATTTGAATGACTACAGACCCTTCTGGAACAGTTATACCAGAGTACAATTGTGCTCTAGCTTTTGCTTATTACCTGTTGTTCTGAGGCTTTACATCACTTCGAGTATGCTAAAATTCTGAATTTGAAAGTAAGCCATAAATCCTAACAGATTGAGAGCTACTGCTCTACAAGATTAGCAAAATTTAATCCCATCCAAGAAGATAGTTACTAAAGGAAAACAATCTTATGTGATTGCCTTCATAACTGAAGAAAAATCTTCTAATGAAATGTCCATTATAACTGATTTTTGTCAGTAGCTTGTGACTTACATTTTCTATAAGTAGCTTGTTGCTAAACTTGAAAGTCAAATCCAGTACCCACCAGTGCTTGAAAGAGTTTATTTTCCTTATGTGTTTAAACACTTGCCAAAGAACATTTGATTCATTCTGAGCCACTATAAAATTGGGCATATTTTATGTTTTCTTGGCACTTGTATTTCAGAGATGAGGAAGGAATTTCAGTTTTTGTGAAAAGAAAGCAAGTTTATCTTCAGAATGATTGGAATTGTGAGACAGTAAATAGGTGAGGATATGGGGAGAGAAGAAGTGGTGTGAACAGTTGCTGAAAGGAATCGAAGAAGACTTACAGGAACCTGGCTCAGTATTGCAGAACCATATAATAGGCTACAATGAAATAGCGGACTACAGATCTTACAGCACTAATAGATATTTATTAAGTTATCCAGGACACGTTGCTGAAGATGTCTACCTCAAAATTTCAGTGGCCTAACACAATAACCAAATGTCGTGTGTGTGTGTGTGTGTGTGTGTGTGTGTGTGTGTGTGTATAAAACCAGTGGCTTAACACAATAACCAAATGTCTTACTTGTATATATATATTATATATATACACACATACATATACATACACATATATGTGTATATATGTATGTATACATACAAGACTATATATGTATATATGTGTGTATATATATATATACACATAAGAGTATATATACACACACATATATACATATATATATATAAAATCCCATGGAATCAACATTTAAATTTGTATATATATATCTTTTTAAAAAGATATATATGTTTGTGTATATGCATATATATGTGTGTGTGTATATATATATATATATTTTTTTTTTTTTTAATTAAAGACAGGTCCTTGTTATGTTGCTCAGGCTGGTCTCGAACTCCTGGACTCAAGGAATCCTCCTACCTCTGCCTTCCCAGTAGCTGGGACTATAGGCATGTGACACCATGCCCTGCCCTCTTCCTGTTGATTCCAACATAGCTGTTCCTGGTTGTTAGGTAACATTCCTCATGTTCCTTCAGCCACCCAGGCTCTTTCCTTTTTGTGGCACTATCATCTGTGGGACCTCAGGGTCTTATGATGGATACTCTGTAGCCAGTTGGCAAGGAGAGAAAAAGAAAGGACTGGAGAATTACAGAAGGCATTCTTAGTGTCCCGTCTGGAAGTGGCGTGGTTCCATTTGAGTGGACATCTTCAGTGATATGGCCTAATATAGGTGCAAAGGAGTTGCTGGAAAATGTAGAACTTGGCCAGAAAGCTGATTCACAGCAATACATTGATACCTTGAAAAGGCACCGCAAATCTTTGGCAGATGGCTAGCCAACTCAGCCTCAGCCAAGCTCTATGTTTTTTCTCCAGCAGCACCAAACGACCCAGGTATCAGTGTGGAAAACATGGGTAGTTGATTTCATTTGTGTTTAAAGTTTGTTCAAGGGAGTATGGGGGAAGAGCAATTCTAACAAGGAAAAGGTTCAGCTAATGAGGACTGAGTTCTCCTGTGTTGAGGAAAGAAATGAATCCACGGGCAGTCGATACACTTGGAGACCAGGGAAGAAAGGATCAAAGACTGGGCTTTGAGCACAAGGATACTGAAGTTGGAAAAGTAGAGTCAGGGAAGGAGAGAGCTGGACAGATAGAATAATTTATTCATAAAGTGTGTTTGGAATTTAGGTTGAGAGTTGGACCCCTAGCAGCCAAGGGTGAGGCCATAGGAGTTGGTAATAAAAGGAGAGGGCAAAGGAATAATAATAGTCGAGGTGGAAAAGGGACTGCAAGTCTCAGGTGCTAGGAAGTTAATGCATATGATTTTAGCCTCCGGGATAGTAGCATGTGACAGATTGATTTTAAAAATGTTCTCGATTCTTCCTACCCTAAATCTCCCTTTTCCTCTGTAATTTTGACATGCTTTCCCTCATTGTGGGTGGGGCATTCAGAACCACAACTTGGCTCCCGGCTCAACTACATGACTTGCTTTGACCAACGGAATGTTAGAAAATTAGACACAAAGCAGAGGTTGAAAAATAACCTGTTCTTTAGGGTTTTTCTTTCTTGCTCCTCTGCCTTTGTCCCCTCCAAAAACATACAGGCTAGCTTGCTGATGGATGAGACATTCAGAGCAGACAGGGCTGAGTTGCCCCACTCGAACCAGTGAAGGTCACTGGAGACCAGTCAATAGCATGAAGAACTCAATAAAGATCGATAGAGCGGTCTAGCCTCCCTCACTGGCTCCAGATGAGTGAGGAATCAATGCTTATTTTTATATGGCACTGAAGTTTTGCAGCTGCTGTGCAGCCTCACTGTGGCAATATATAACTGATACAAGGGCTGGAAAGGAGTTCCACAGAGAACGTGGAGGAGCGACATGAAAGCTAAACAGTCTACAACACCTTTTGCAAGTGCTTGCTACAAAAAAAATATCCATTTACCTTATTGGCCAAATGAATTAAAAAACCTGTACACTTTGGCTTCCACCAGCTCAATTCTATGTTTGCCTCAATTTTTTTTGTTTCCATATCTTTTTATATCAGTGGCTTTTGTTTTACAACTATAAACTTTAATTTAGTAACATGTAAATAGAAAAAAAAAACATGAGCGCAAAAGATAGACCATGTGCTAAGAAGATATTTCTTTAAAAACACAATTGACTGTTTTTTGAAAAGTCTAGAAAATAATGTTTCTAATTTTTGCTGTCACATATAAAGAAAATTAATAAAAATCTAGAAAGATTAATTTTATAAATTAATGCACAGTTCATGTTCTACCTTAATAAAACCAAAGCAAGAACTTGCAAAAATGTCATTTTGTCTGTGGCTATTCCAGGAAAATAGTAGGAACCTCCAATAAGTAGGCCTGAACATCAATAACCAATGTAACACTGAAATGATTGTGGCATAGTTATTGCAGAATTATTTTTTGTTTAAGTGCTTTAAATTAAAACAAAAATATTTAAAGAATATGTGATTCAATTTTTGTGCCCAGTTCAGATTCAGAAAAACTCCTCCAAGTTGCCAGTCAGTTATTGGTCTTAAATTGATTAGCCTCTACCTATCCATGTATGCAGGAACACACAAAAGGTAGTGACCCGTTTTGAATGCTTGAAATGCTATAGCTATACTGTGTTTTTCTCTAGAAAGAATGGGGCTTTGTAATTTAGGACATTTTAGTCTAGGACTTTGTTTTAAATATAAAGATTTATAGGGATTTTTTTTCTTGGAAATAAGTAAAAATATGCCAAATTATTATGAAACAAATTTTCCAGATTTTGACCATGTTATAAACTTATTCAATACATTTGTTTGTGTATTTAACAGCTCTATTGAGGTACAATTCACACATCATCAAATAGACCTATTGTAAATATACAATGGAATACTTCTTAGCGAGTTTAGAGAGTTGTGCAGCTCTCACCACATCTAGTTTTAAAATATTTCCATCACCCCAAAAAGTTTCCTCATGCCCTTTTGCGGTCAATCTCTGCACCTACCCACCATGTTCCCCTCCCACCCCAGCCCCCGGCACTACTAATCTGAATACTGTCTCTTTAAATTTGAGTTTTCCAGATACTTCATTTAAACAGAATCAGGTAATATGCAATTTTTTTTGCATCTGGCTTCTTTAACTTAGTATAATGTTTTTGAGGTTCATCCATGTTGCATCATGTAATACAGATTTTGATGTATTGAGTTTTGTTTTCATTTAGGTCAAAATACTTTCCAATTCTCTGTGACGTCTTTGGTATTACTTAGAATTGTATTGTCTAATTTGTCAATATTTAGGGATTTCCCAATATTCTTTCTGTTGTTCAGTTCCAATTTTATTGTAGTTGGGAAAGATACTTTGGCTATTTCAATTATTTTAATCATTTTTAAGAGTTTTTGTTTGTTTGTTTGTTTGTTTTGTTTTATTCTGTTTTTTTGTCATTGTTGTTTTGAGACAGAGTCTTGCTCTGTTACCCAGGCTGAGGTGCAGTGACATGATTTTGGCTCTTTCACTGCAACCTCTGCCTCCCAGGTTCAAGCGATTATCCTGCCTCAACCTCCCAAGTAGCTGAGATTACAGGTGCTCACCACCACTCCTGGCTAATTTTTGTATTTTTAGTAGAGACGGGGTCTCACCATGTTGGCCTCCATCTCATGACCTCAAGTGAACCACCCGCCTTGGCCTCCCAAAGTGCTGGTATTACAGGCATGAGCCAGCATGCCCGGCCTACATTGCCAAGTCAATCCTAAGCCAAAAGAACAAAGCTGGAGGCATCACACTACCTGACTTCAAACTATACTATAAGGCTACAGTAACCAAAACAGCATGGTACTGGTACCAAAACAGACATACAGACCAATGGAACAGAACAGAGCACTCAGAAATAATGCCACGTATCTACAACTATCTGATCTTTGACAAACCTGACAAAAACAAGAAATGGGGAAAGGATTCCCTATTTAATAAATGGTGCTGGGAAAACTGGCTAGCCATATGTAGAAAGCTGAAACTGGATCCCTTCCTTACACCTTATACAAAAATTAATTCAAGATGGATTAAAGACTTAAATGTTAGACCTAAAACCATAAAAACTCTAGAAGAAAACCTAGGCAATACCATTCAGGACATAGGCATGGGCAAGGACTTCATGTCTAAAACACCAAAAGCAAAGGCAACAAAAGCCAAAATTGACAAATGGGATCTAATTAAACTAAAGAGCTTCTGCACAGCAAAAGAAACTACCATCAGAGTGAACAGGCAACCTACAGAACGGGAGAAAATTTTTGCAATCTACTCATCTGACAAAGGGCTAATACCCAGAATCTACAATGAACTCAAACAAATTTACAAGAAAGAAACAAACAACCCCATCAACAAGTGGGCGAAGGAGATGAACAGACACTTCTCAAAAGAAGACATTTATGCAGCCAACAGACACATGAAAAAGTGCTCATCATCACTGGCCATCAGAGAAATGCAAATCAAAACCACAATGAGATACCATCTCACACCAGTTAGAATGGCGATCATTAAAAAGTCAGGAAACAACAGGTGCTGGAGAGGATGTGGAGAAATAGAAACACTTTTACACTGTTGGTGGGACTGTAAACTAGTTCAACCATTGTGGAAGACAGTGTGGCGATTCTTTAGGGATCTAGAACTAGAAATACCATTTGACCCAGCCATCCCATTACTGTGTATATACCCAAAGGATTATAAATCATGCTGCTATAAAGACACATGCAAACGTATGTTTATTGCAGCACTATTCACAATAGCAAAGACTTGGAATCAACTCAAATGTCCAACAATGATAGACTGGATTAAGAAAATGTGGCACATATACACCATAGAATAGTATGCAGCCATAAAAAAGGATGAGTTCATGTCCTTTGTAGGGACATGGATGAAGCTGGAAACCATCATTCTCAGCAAACTATCACAAGGACAAAAAACCAAACACCGCATGTTCTCACTCATAGGTGGGAATTGAACAATGAGAACACATGGACACAGGAAGGGGAATATCACACACCAGGGCCTGTTGTGGGGTGGGGGGAGGGGGGAGGGATAGCATTAGGGGATATACCTAATGTTAAATGACGAGTTAATGGGTGCAGCCCACCAACATGGCACATGTATACATATGTAACAAACCTGCACATTGTGCACATGTACCCTAAAACTTAAAGTATAATAATAAAAAAAAAAGAAAAAAAAAGAGTTGTTTTAAATTTGTAGTTGGTCTACTTTAGAGACTTCTATGTGTGTTATAAAAAGAAAGTGTATTTTGCTGTTGCTGAGTTAAATCAATCTACAGTTAAGTCAAGGTGTTGTTCGAGTGTACTATTTTCTGTCTAGTTCTAATATATATTAAGAGTGAAATACTGAAACTCTGATTCTAATTGTTGAATTGTCTTTCTTACCTTTGGTTTTAGTGAGTTTTTGCTTCATTTATTTTAGATGTTTTCCTTTTGAGTATACATTTACCATTATTATGTGTTCCAGTTGAATTGACCCTTTTATCACTATGAAATGTCTCACTTTGTCTCTAGTAATATTTTTGTTTTAGTGACTATTTTTTCTGATATTAATATTAGATACTTCTGCTCTCTTATGCCTACTATTTGCTTGGTATATATTTGTCTACGCTTTTACATCCTACCTATTCATGCCCATGATTCTATTGTGTTTCTCTAGGAGACAGTTGGATCCTGATTTTTTAAATCCTGTCTTACAATCTGTGTTTTTTTAATTACAGTGATTTTTTCATTCACATTTAGTGTGCTTATTGTCATGGTTGGATTATGACTGCTCATTTCCATTTGATTTTTATATGCCTAACTTTTGTTCCTCCTTTATTGCCTTCTTTTATGTAAAAGATGCATATTTTTGCTCTAGAGAGTATTATATGACTCTTAACTTTTCACAATTTTAAAATGTCTCATTACTGTATGTCTGTTAATCTAGTAGTTGACCTAGGCATTACAGCATGCCTCTTACTTTGTCATAGTCTGTCTCAGGTTAGCACTGGCTTAGTTCCAGAAAAATAGAGCAGCTTTGTTCCAGTGTAGCTCCTTTTCCTCCCATTTTTTAATTCTAATTGTCATGTATATTACATGTATATGTTATAAAGCCATAAATATAATGTCATAATAATATTTGCCCATGACTATTGAAGAAATTTTAAAAATTCTTTTTAAAAAGATAGCTATGTATTCTTTTATACTTTCTCACATATTTTTCATTTTCAGTGTTCTTCATTTCTTCCTCTAGATTTGAATTACCATTTAGCGTGATTCTTTTTCGGGCTGTAGAACTCTCTTTTACATCTCTTGCAAAGCAATTCTGCCAGCAATCAATTTTCTCAGGCAAGATAATGCCTTTATTTTTTCTTTTTGAAAGATAGTTTTGTTGAATTCTTGGTGGACAAGTTTGTTTTTGCTTTTTCTTTTTAAAGAAGTTTAATTTTGCCACTCCACTACCTTCAGATCTCTATCACTTTTGACAAAAAGGCAACTTTTAATTATATTGCTGCTCTTCTGTACACAGTGAGTCCGTTCTCTTTTGCTGCTTTTAAGATTTTCTCTTCGCCCTTGACTTTCAACAGTTTAACCATAATGTGGTAAGTGTGGATATCTTTGTATTTATCCTACTTGGATTCATTGAGCTTCCCTGTAGTAATATTTGTCATCCAATTTGGAAAATTATAAGAATTTATTCTTTAAACATTTTTTCTGCCCCCTTCCTCTCACCTTTTTTTCCAGGACTCCCATTACACCTACATGTTGACAGAGTTTTAGTTGTCCTACAAGTCTCTGATTATTCATTTTTCTTTAATGAATAATTTCTAGTGTTCTATTTTCAAGTTCGTAGATTCTTGCTTATGTCATCTTAAGTCTGCTTGTTGAGTCCATGTAATAAATTATTCATGTTAGTTACTGTACTTTTCAACTTAAAATTTTCCATTTGGTTTTAGAGTTTCACTTTTTAAAACTTTCTACTTAGTTTCTATTTCTAAAACTTATTTTAGAGTTTCTACTGTTGTGATTCCTATTTGTTGATTCATCATCATATTTTTCTTTAATTTTTTAACATGCATATATAATAGCTTCTTTGAAGACTTTATTAAAGCCAACATCTTTGCCCATTCACACTTTTTACTACTTTTATCCCTATATATGTTACACTTCCCTATTGTTTGTATATCCTTTTTTTTTTTTTTTTTACTAAAAACACAGCAATTTTAGACAATTTATTGTAGCAATTCTGGATTTTGAGAGTTGTTATTTTTTCCATCTTGTTTTCCTTTTTAGTAATTTGTGTAGACTATTGTGTTTACTCTCCCTTCACGGTGTAGGCCCACTGTGTCTCTGTTCAAGTTCTTTTTATTCTTATTCTTGTTTTTATTTATTATCCTGGCATCCTAAAGATCACACGTGCACCTGCATGGCTTCATAGCCAATCATTTGGCCAGAGGCTTTGCTTAAATACCTCATGCCAGTAAAACTCTGTCCTCTCCTGACAGGTCTGAGTATGGTTTGGGGCCTGCATTTAAATGTCATGCAGATTTCACATTTGGGCAAGTGTTTACTTCTGCTGGGACATCCTGGAACTGTCCCGACAGACTCTGAGTCAGCCAGGCATGTGTAGAAAGCTTACTTAGCTCCTTTATTGCCCTCTCATTTCCAGAACCCCCTGGTTAAATTTCTGACTAGTCCACCATTCAACTTCTTACCCAACCAGGACCCCACCTTCATATTTTCCCTTTTTATTTTCTTTTGAATTTGCTGCTTTCATTGACAATGCCACTGAGTATAAGATTTTGCCAAATCAAATTAAACCCCTCCAGCAACAAAGTTGCTCATTTTTACAACCATCCCTGTCCTAGTAGCACTACCATCTCAACTGACTTGGGGAAGAAGAAGAATGGGACATCCCCAGGCGAGAATGCAACAGACTCCACTGTTTTTACCTGGAGCCCAAGAATTTTTCATGGATAGAGGCTTCTGTATTTGTTGTTTACCTATGGCATTTCACAGAGCTGTGAAGTGGTAGTTTTTGACAATTGTATCCAGTTTGGGGTTTATTTTGGGTGGAGGGGAACTGCTGACATTTCTTCACACTGGGAGTCCCCAGTGTTGTTCAAATTTTAAGAATGGAAATTTCTACTGCCGCTCTTATTTGCTTGATACAACATTCAGTATGCCCACCCCACATCTGACTCTATACCATCTCTCTGCTTGCAATCAAATGGTAGAGCAATCATGCCACATATTTTGTCTGACCAATAAATAAGTGCTAATTTGAGTGAAAGCTTTCACTGCAAATGAAGTGCTGCAAATAATATATAATGAATTTCCTACCTGCCACAGTGGTTGGCGTCACAGTGGTCTGGACTCCATATGGATAAGTAAGTCAGCTCATCATAATTAAAAAATAAATGTTTAGCTTTTTTTTGTTATTTTTTGTGCTCTCTGGGTGGAAGATATTGGGCCATCACTATCTGTTCAGCAATGACAGGAAAAGGGTCCTACGTCACAGTGCACTGGTAGGTGACTGCTAAAGACCCTTCCCATGATTGGAACCCATCTTTGCAGACTCTTGCAGAGTTCCTGCTATAAAAAGTTTTCTTCTGATTAAAAACAGTAGATCTCCTCTTAGGTAATGGCAGATTATTAAGGCTATTATTTCAGAATCTTTAAGGTATGAAGGAGGGAACTACCTCAAACACTAAGTTCTGGACCAAAGCTCTTAAAAGTCTTGTCAGAATGAGAAGAGGCGTGTGTTTCTCAAAGAGGCTGTGGATAGATAGAGGAAAAAGATGGACTGATTCTGGTGAAATCACTGCAGTGCAGAAGCCTTTAAGAGAAGAGGTTGTTACACAAGGATTTAGCCAACATTACATATTGTCCATGTGGTCAGTAGGTGTTGGGCTTGTGAGAACCAGAAACCTCTCAGTAAAAGGGATGACTACAAGGGAACTGGTTGGTGTCTTCTGAATTCCTTTAAGACAGAAGAGGAGGGAGTATTACGTGCAGAAACAGAAGGATGGAGGTGCTTGCTGACAGATGGAGGCTCCAGAGGACATTGTCTGACATGATAGAGCTGGGGGGAAATTGGCAGAAAAATTGGAGGAGGGCTGAGAATTCTGCAAACAAAAATATAACCTGAGGGCCTGATATTTGGGAATGAGGGTAAGAGAAAAAAAAATTTCCCGTCTGAACAGGGACACACAATCACAAGGAAACAACAACAGCAACAACAACAGCAACAGCATTTTCTTAAATACTTTGTGTACCTTAAAGAGAAGCAGCAGATAACTGCGAATTAGTAATTAATCTTGCCATCATTATTGATATCATCATAACCTTATTACATTATATTAAGTGAATCACTGGAAATATTAAAATACTCAATGCGACTAATAAAGTTTTCTTTCCCATTTGAATGTATATTGTTAATGTGGAAACTCAAATGTATAGCTGGAGAGGTTCTCTTCTCAGGTGATGCCTCTCTACCACCTGTCTAACAATTCCTTGTAGCCCCAGGGCATTTTTTGGAGTCAGCTATTTGTACTAAAAGGGAACTAATGAATAGTGCAAATGCCACTAAAAAAAAAATAGAGTGGCTTTATCAGAAGGCACAGATGTTAACTTATCAGATGCAAGGAAAGGAAACTCTTGCTAATTGGATCCTATTCTCCCTCTGTCAGTTTCATTTAAGGAGACATTTAAACAGTACACAGCTGGAATTTGGAAGTTTTCTTTAAACAAGACTACATGAAACCAAGCTGGTTTAGAGTACTTCTGTGTCTACCTCTTGTTTTTTGTTTTTTTTTTTTCTAGCTTGGCTCGCCTGTTGACATGAAGCTATTAGTATTACAATTAGTACTGAAATACATTATTAAGCAAACAGAAAACTTTTCTAAAAGATAGGAAGGCTTAGGGAATTGACACCATGAGTAAGAGTGGTGAGGTAATATTTTTAGTCCAATCTCACTTTGCGACTGATTTTAAAAGAACCATAACACTTTAGAATTCAAAGTGACTTTAGATATTCGTTAGTCCAGTTCATTCATTTTCTAAGTTAGCAGTTGATGTTCAGAGAGGTGAAATGGCCTGTTGAAAAATCATAGTGATATTCATAAAATGCCCTCATGAGTAGCAAACTTTCTTTAACTCAGATTAGTGGGGCTTTCAACATGTTATCTTGCCTCCTTCTCAAATCACAAGAGATTAAGATGTATTCATCTTTTTCTTGTTTGTTTGTTTCAATCTTTCACATTATCTCCATTTCTTCACAAGTTCCAGGGAAAGAGAATTTGAGATTTCTCTTTTATCCATATTTTTGATAGTGCCTAAAATAATAACAAAACCCCACCAGCCCTAAGAAGATTTTTAAATAAAAGAATTATAAAATTTCGCCTGTGGTTCAAGTGCAATGTTTAGATATCTAGAGTAGTCATAAAAAAAAGCAATTGAATGAGAGAAGTTTTTCCAGGTGAAAAATAAAGAAATTGTTAGAATGCTCTCTCCATTGAACCATAGGCAGATTATCTTAAGTGACTTTGCTGTACTATTTCCCAAAATCAAACAACATATGGTTACCCAGGCCTGTTAACTCATTGCATAGTCAATAGATCATGTTGGTCTATTCAGTGATTTAGCTAAATGTAAATAGTTTTCAAAAGTGTGTGATGCTTCTACAATTTATTTCACATTTTCATTAGCAAGCTCTAATTTATCTGACCTGACCACACCTATAGAATATTAAATTTCATGAGAGACTTAACCTCAGTGCCCAGCAGAATATCTGACACTTGTAAGTTGCCGCCCCTTCCTTGGTTTCCAGCTTTCATGTTTATTTTCTAGATTTAAAAATATTGCATTCACTATGTATGTTGTTCATATGTTCATATATTAGGCAATAATCCTAATTCCTTTATTTTTATTTTAATTTTTTTAAATTTTATTTTTTATCTAAAACCAAGCCTTTATCAAAAAAGTGTATGCTGAGAAGAATTTTAAAATAAAAAACTAACACTTCTAGTTTGGAAAATATTTACTTCACCAATAATGAGCATTGAGAACTTTATTCCCATCACCTTTAAGAGCTAGGGAGTAAATAAATACTAAATAACTAGAGCTGTATAACTGAATCCACAAAAGTGACAGCTGTTTTTTATAACCTCAATGTTGGGCCACAGATCAGTAAAAGAAATAACAACACTCCACTTTTCTAGATACCTAAATGTGTACTTGGCCCAGCAGGTGGGCAAATTAATCTTGGGAAGTAGAAACATGAGTTCTCAGGGCCTGTTATGGTTCCAAGAACAGTGGCCACTGGGGCTGATGGCTTCCGCATCATTGTGGAGAAACTGGCTTTCTTGGCCAGTTTTTAGACTAGGAGCTTAAACCACCCGTGAGTAGTAGTAGCATACCGCTGTGATCCGAGAGAAGTTGGAAAACGTGCATTAGCTGGAATCCTCCCAGAACTGCATTATTTACAGCTTTTAAGCAATTTTGGGTTGGGTTGTAGGGTATGAAATTGACAGTTTCCTTGGATGGACTGTATAAGTAAACAGCTCGGCTTTTATCTTTTCAATGTTGTTAGATAGACTAATATTTGCCGAGTGCCATTTCTGAATAATAGCATCTCTAAATAATACAAGTATTTTCTTTTTTATTTCTCTCTTCAACCTTTATTTTAAGTTCCAGGGTACATGTGCAGGACGTGCAGGTTTGTTACATAGGCAATCATGTACCATGGTCGTTTGCTGAGCAGATCAACCTATCACCTACGTATTAAGCCCAGCATCCATTAGCTATTCTTCCTAATGCTCTCCCTTCCCCTACCCCCCAACCAGACCCCAGTGTGTGTTGTTCTCCACTATGTGTCCATGTGTTCTCATCATTCAGCTCTCACTTATAAGTGAGAACGTGCGGTGTTTGGTTTTCTGTTCCTGTGTTTGTTTGCTGAGGATAACGGTTTCCAGCTCCATTTATGTTTCTGCAAAGGACATGATCTCTTTCCTAACCAAATAATTTTCTAAATACTATTTTTAGCTAAAATGTACTCTCTATATAGTAATATTTCTGAAGTTTTAAAGATTTCATTTACCTTATAGATATTCTCAAAATATATGGTTCCCCTCCAACCAGAAAACCCACTGGGAATTCTGAATTTCATTTCCAAAACCATTCTACTAATAGCTCTCCTGGCAGGAGACCCAGACTGCACCACAGCGAGAACAATCTCTCTGACACAAAGTCAGCCCTCCTTCAGTATTAACGAGGGTGAGAGTAGACCGAGTGGACACATTCCAGAGCTAGTTTCTATTAAAACAACACCAGTAAGCATGCATTTCATATAAATACCATGGTTTCCCATGCAATAAAAAAAATAAAGCTGAGTGCTAAGAAGAGTATTTACATTAAGCAATAATCAATAGAGGCCTCCAGGCTGTCTTTTCAAGGGGGTCATTTGTGGGGGGCTCTGAAGGGGTGGGCTTTGGGCCGGCTTTGTATTTCTCAAATGAGGTCTCTGCATAAGGTCGCTTAGGAGGAGCTGAGATGAGAGAACTGAAGCGGATGATCTATCTTATAAATTAGACTTCAACTAGTGTAAAAGCTGCTGGAGTGAGGGACCAATTGTTTTGGTAGCCTGTCAGAAATAATTTCAAACCTGACAGGACACTGAGCCGTGTGGTGTGATCTCCCAGCCTTCAGTCTCCACACTGGGAGAGAAGCGGAACAGGACGGGGCAAACCCTCACCGTGGAAGCGCGGCTGCCAGATCCCAGCACCCGGCCTTGCCATTCGCTGCATCCCCAGCTCCCTCCCTCCTCCTCTCAACCCCTCCTGCTTCCCTCCCTACCCTCCCTCAGTGGGTATAGAATTCAGTCTTTTATGGAATCACAATGAGTTGATATAAGCAAGAGCAACAAACACAACATCAAAAGAAATTACACCATCATCAAACTAGCTCATAATATCATTAGTGACCTAAATTAAAGCAAGATAATTGCCCCAGAAGACAACAAACCGTCATGGAGAATACTAATAACGCCGAGAGCCCATTCCAGCACTCTGCCAGGAGTAAGGCTTCACAACAGAATTTTTGCACACATCCACTGACAAATCAGCTTTTTCTCAAGTTCAGAAAAAGAAAACATAACCAATGTAATTCACCTGTATCTTTTATTTTCTTTCTTCAGGGTCCTTCTCGTTAAAGTAATAACAGCAGAAATGGGACCCTTAAAGCCTGCTGATTTTTGACTAAGTCCTTGTCAAGGGTAATCTGGGGCATGTTAAATAAGCCATGGCTTTCCTGAAAGACGAAAATGATGTGATATCGAAAGAATGACGTACAGGTAAATGGCATATTGGCTTTGTTTCACTTAATTTACTGTAATAAATTGGACCCAAAAAAGCCATTTCACCTCCATTTTCTTTTTAATTTTCGTATAATACCAAGTCTAACAATTATGTCTCACATCAACGGTGAGTGATGTTAAAAGTAAAGAACTCCAGGCCGGGCGCGGTGGCTCACGCCTGTCATCCCAGCACTTTGGGAGGCCAAGGCGGGCGGATCACGAGGTCAGGAGATCGAGACCATCCTGGCTAACACGGTGAAACCCCGTTTCTACTAAAAATACAAAAATTAGCCAGGAGTGGTGGCGGGCGCCTGTAGTCCCAGCTACTCGGGAGGCTGAGGCAGGAGAATGGTGTGAACCCGGGAGGCGGAGTTTGCAGTGAGCCGAGATTGCGCCACTGCACTCCAGCCTGGGCGACAGAGCAAGACTCCATCCCCGCTCCAAAAAAAAAAAAAAAAAGTAAAAGAACTCTTAACCAAGGATTCTACTTTTCTTCACTTCTATCCTTCCTAGGGTCAAGTTTTACATGAATAAATATGAATAAAATAATTAGCTATGACGTCATGGATCGGAATAAACTGGTTCTCTCAGCAACATTTGTGAAAAGTAGCTGAGTTAGAACCCGCTAGACAACCTGTTCTCAAGTTCTCATGAGCTATACCTCAGGTAGTTGAAAGTCGGAAGCTCGGCCTCCTAATCAAACCCAGCAAGGATGCCTGGGCCACTATTCGAGTGTTACAAGCCTGTATGACTAAGTTCTACCTCTGGAAGCAACGACGATAGGGCGTGAGTAAAAGTCTATTAGAAAACTTTAGAATTTTTATTCTTTATTTTTATTTGAAAGGAGTTAAGGAATGCAAGTGAGCCTAATGCGGAGGTCTTCCTGATGATCTTCACTTGCTGCAATTTCATTTTCCATCAGGTTCCTTAGGAGTGCAAAATAAATAAATAAATAAATAACAAAAAACAAAAACAAAAACAAAACCCGGGCCTGTCCAGCAGGCCACTGACTGTGTTCTCACTGGTGCTTAATGGAAAACCAGCCAGAGTTCTCTTCCAGGAGGCGTGCACTGTGCAGACTCCTGAACTCCTTGAGGGCAGTCAAGATCTAGAAACTTCCATGTCTTAGAGCACTAGCATAATGCTTGACAAATTAAAAGTGCTCCATAAACACTTTGAGGAGTGAAAACTAGCAATTGCCCCATACCACACCTGTGTTCTGTTGTCTTTGTTTGGATTAATTCTACTAACAATAAAATCTCATATTATTTTGCGGTAGCTTGTGTTGATGTTTTTTCTCCTCTCGTATCATTTTAGGATAATCATTTTGCATCCTCCCAGGGATCAGCTTTGATACAAAAAGACTGACATGAGTAGTGGGAAGAGCCCTGGCCCTTCCTAGGATGCCTAAACACTGCTGTATGGACTTGGAAAGTTACAGATGCAACATGACTGGGTCTCAATATCTCTATCTTGAAATTTTTGAAAATGACAATGATAGCTCCACTTGGAATTGATAGGAAGATTAAAGACATAATATATGTGCTTAGTGTGGTTCTTAATAATTATTAGCTAAATATCAATTATACTTGAGTATGACTGAGATTTATTACTGATAAAATATAAAAGCAAAGGTCATCATAGAAATCATACAGCCCATCAGGGGCAGTTTACATATTCAAATATTAGATCCAGGCCGGGCGCAGTGGCTCACGCCTGTAACGCCAACACTTTGGGAGGTGTAGGCGGGCGGATCACGAGGTCAGGAGCCCGAGACCAGCCTGGCCAACATAGTGAAAGCCCGTGTCTACTAAAGAAACACAAAATTAGCCGGGCATGGTGGCGTGCGCCTATAATCCCAGCTACTTGGGAGGTTGAGGCAGGAGAATCACTTGAACCCGGGAGGCGGAGGTTGCAGTGAGCAGATATGGTGCCATTGTCCTCCAGCCTGGCTGACAGGGCAAGACTCCGTCTCAAAGAAGAATAAAAAATTAGATCCAAAAGATTTTGCGAATTTCCTAAGACTGTGCAACAAATTAGTAATAGAGATAAAATGATAAGCCATGTCACCTAAGTGCTAATCACTGCTTTTTCCAAGACACCCCAGTGCCTCATTATCTCTCTTTCTTAGGTTCAAATTTGACACAAGTCAACTTAAATAAAATGATTAGCTGTAATTTCATGGACTAGAACAAACTGATTCCCTGAGGAACATTTGAGGAATATAGCTGAGTAAGGCCCCAATACAACTTGCTCTCAGGCTTAGAACTCATTCTGATATACTAAAATTTCTTTTTTCTTTTTCTTTTTTTTTGAGATGGAGTCTCACTCTGTCATCCAGGCTGGAGTACAATGGCACGATCTCGGCTCACTGCAACTTTCTCCGCCTCCCAGGTTCAAGCGATTCTCCTGCCTCAGCCTCCCGAGTAGCTGGGAATACAGGCACTCGCCACCATGCCCAGCTAATTTTTTTTTTTTTTTTTTTTTTCAGTAGAGACGGGAGTTCACCATGCTGGCCAGGCTGGTCTCGAATTCCCGACCTCGTGATCCTCCTGCCTTGGCCTCCCAAAATGCTGAGATTACAGGAGTGAGCCACTACACCTGGCTCTGATGTACTAAAATTTCTATGCCAATATGGAATATGTATCTTTAATGCAACGCACAGTGCTTTGCTAACAGTAGTTGCCCAATAGATGTTGTTTCTTTTAAAGTTAACTAACAAATAAAGTCCTTCTAAATAATCAACTAGATAAGTCGTTCTCAACATTGGGGCAATTTGACGTCCAGGAGACAGTTAGAAAAATTCAAGTTTTCACAACAGTAGGAAGAGGATACTTCTGGCATCTAGTGGGTAAACACCAGGGATGGTGTTAACATCCTGTAATGCTCAGGATCAGCCTCCACAACAAAGAATGTTCCTGTCCGTATTATCAGTACTGTCAATGTAGAGAAGTTCTGATATAGATCCACCTTCAGGATTCCCAAGGTATTTATCTTCTGGTTACAAAAATAATTTTTTCTTATTAATTTTATCTTCATCATTATTTTGAAATCATTTGATATAATGAAACTATTTTAAGTAATAAAAAAATAGTAACAATAGTTTGATGGATTTACTTCTTCTTGACTACTTGAAATTACTTGGTTCAAATTTAGGAAAATTAGCCCCTAACAAGAACCTGTTCTCCTGAAATGTGTGTCTCGCTCTGTTGCCCAGGCTGGAGTGCAGTGGCCCCATCTCAACTCACTGCAAGCTCTGCCTCCCAGGTTCACCCCATTCTCCTGCCCCAGCCTCTGGAGTAGCTGGGACTACAGGTGCCTGCCACCACGCCCTGCTATTTTTTTTGCATTTTTTAGTATAGACAGGGTTTCACCGTGTTAGCCAGGGTGGTCTCAATCTCCTGACCTCGTGATCCACCCGCCTCAGACTCCCAAAGTGCTGGGATTACAGGCGTGAGCCACCACGCCCAGCCGTTCTCTAACTTCTATGTACATCAGAAATACCTAGAACGCTTGTTATCAGAATTTCTGATTTGGGAGGTCTGGTATAGGGCTTGAGAATTTGCATTTCTAGCAAATTCCCAGATGATGCTGCTGGTCTGGGACCACAGTATGAGAATGACAGTGTTAATATCCTAAACTTTACCACTAGGTAGGGTGTAGTTTTTTTAAAATTCACCCTGCTGTTTTTCCTGTTTTTGTTTTTTGAGACAGAGTTTCGCTCTTGTTGCCCAGGTTGGAGTGCAATGGTGGGATTCGGTTCACTGCAACCTCTGCCTCCTGGGTTCAAGCGATTCTCCTGCCTCAGCCTCCCAGGTAGCTGGGATTACATATGCCCACCACCATGCCCAGCTAATTTTTGTATTTTTAGTAGAGAGGGGGTTTCTCCATGTTGGTCAGGCTTGTCTCAAACTCCTGACCTCAGGTAACCCACCCACCTTGGCCTCCCAATCCCAAAGTGTTGGGATCACAGGCATAAGCCACTGTGCCAGGCCTCGCCCTGCTTTTTTTTTTTTTGCAAACGAGCAAGCCAATAGCCACTTGATTTTGATGGAAACATTTAAATGGATGAAATTGCAGTCTAAACTGGTGCAAGAAATACCTTATTCTTTAGACTATATTGTTTAGGGTGCCAGTTTTCAATGCAGTATAAATTAATAAATTCTTCTGGGCACGTCATAGGAATCTGGAAATGGCATTCTCCCATAACTCTTTCCCTGCACTCTCTTACCCTTTCTTCTCTCTAAAATGTGTTACTATTGATTCAATGAGAGATTAGACATTTAGACAACTTCCTGTCCAACATTAACAGGGTTAACTACAAGAGAAACATCCATGTTGTTTCTGTTTAATACTTTTGCAATTAGATTTGCATACCATTGACGCCTGCTCCCAGGGGTGTATTTGTGATATAGAGAAGGTAAGACAAAAATGAGGCCAGCTCTCTGGCAAGTTCCTATGTAACCTACTTTGCCCTCTCTTGCTTACAACATTTGTTTTCCTACCCTGTAAATCAGATGAAAACCAGGAAAAACAAGAGTAGGCAATAATGGTGCTTACTCTGGCTGGAAAATTCTAGTCCAAAACAGCAGGCCTGGTTTTGATTACATCTAGTAATCAAGCTGTGTACGGTATAACTTGACTTAATGTCTCAGGCAAAGTTAATCTGCACATTGGAAAGCTTGATTTTAAAGATTGTACAATCCATTGAGTTGGACAAGAAGTCACAGTTCATCACTTTTTGTTTTTTCAATATTACATTACTGTTTCTGAGATGTGAACCTTAGGATAATTGGGTAGATGGTTAACAATTGGGTGGTATTCATTTTCTAGACATAGTGGGAGAGTATTAAAAAACAAAAGACGGGAGGCTGAGGCAGGAGAATTGCTTGAACCTGGGAGGCACAGGTTGCAGTGAGCCGAGATCACGCCACTGCCCTCCAGCGTGGGTGACAGAGTGAGACTCTGTCTCAAAATAAAACAAAACAAACAAACAAAAAAAGACAACATTGTAATGCTGCTGAATTGAGCTAGGTCCCAGAAGAGTTTTGTTATATATCCATTTAAAAAGTCCGGTAGCAATTAACCTTGCATTTCAACAGACAGTACGTTAAATGCCCTTAGACTTTGCTCAGTTTATACCTTTTTAGGTATATGTATATCCCTATGATGCAGAGATATTGCTGTCTGTGAGAAAAAAAGGTCATAGAGTTCATCACTTCGCTGCTATTTTTGGGGCCAGAAAAATGGTTGTTTTGTACTAAACATTTTCAGACTTACATTAGCAGGATTCCTAATTGTTAAGAAGACAGAGAACAGTTCATTGGTATTAAGCCGCTACACACACACACACACACACACACACACACATATGCCATTATCTGATTGACTATATAACCAGGAATATAAACAGTCACTTATTTCAAACACTTCACTCTGAAGTTGTTAATTCAGTTTTAGTAAAGTTGTAATCTGGGGCATTTGTTGGATTCATTCATTCATTCATGCATGCATTCATTTCCTTTTTACTGGTGTGGCATACAACTGTTGAATGACATATGACAGATGTCAGCTTTTTTTTTTTTTCAATATTATGTTTTAGTTGTGACTACAGATTCTTACTAGCACATTTGCCCTGAAACAGAAATATATCAACTGGAATTCAGTATTTCAAACAAAAACTTTTTACAAGAAGTGTGTGAAATAACATAAGATATTACAAAATAATGACAGTGACTTTTAAAGTAGTGTATTAGAAGCCAGTACCAATGAGTCAATGTCAGTTGAGTCAGTGTCAATGAGTTGATTGACAATTGGTGACAATGGAAGATCATGCACATATGTGTCAGGATTACTATCAGGAACAGTTTGTAAGCATTCTTATCTCACATGTCATAATCTGCTAGAATACATGGCCTATGAAAATTTTTATTGTTTTTAAATTTTGTATGACTCTCTCAGAATAGTCAAACAAACATCCCAGAGCATTTAGAAAATTTCAGCAGTATTTTTCCAGTCTAAAGATATCATGTAAAATCATAGTTTTTAACTTCACAAGTGAATTAAAAATAATATTTTATGAGAAAATTTTGAGATTATGGTATCCTTTGAGGTAATTGGAAAGCTCCTGAGGTTTGTAAAACGCAGGTTGGGGCCACTGCACTAGCATAATACTTTGGCACAAGTTTTAAAATAGAAATAAAACTAAAACTGCGATTTAGGACTAGTTCTGTGCCAAACTCTGCAATAGGTTCTGCAGGGAATGGAAACAGGAGTAAGAATTCCTGCGTGCAATCATTTAGAGATGAATGGGTAGACTCTCTCGACTGGCTTTTATCACACTTATTTAGACATCCATCTCCTGAAAGGAGAATGTTGTATTGGTGTTAATGTCTCACCTGCAGAAAAAAGAAAGAGTAAAGCCAGAAAGAATATACTTTATAGAATGCCTTTTTAAGGAAAATAAAATAGAAATAACTTGTCTTAGATCATCATTGCCTTCTTGACTTCTAGCATTCAACTTCTTACTAAGCAAGAAAAATGTTTAAATATGCTTAAGAATAAACAGCACAGTGAAAATAAACCCCCGTTTTTGTATAACAATTCTGAAAAACATGAGCAAATGAGGGAGTGAACCTGGGGCCAGCAAGGAGATGTCCCTTTCTGACAGCACAAACTTGGGTGAGATTAGAAGAGAGAAGGACAAGGTGTGGCGAGGCAGGCTGCTCCTGGTCCTGCCTATTCAGATGCTGTGCGAGGATGTGATTCAACAACTTCAACACCTCTGACTGAACAAATAACTGACGTGTGTAAAAGCGGCCGCTACCATCCCATTTTAATTCATCTGATTTAGGAATGATAATAAAGTTTCAAGAATGGAAAAATTGTTTGGTGGATAGTTTGCTTCCTCATAAATGGATGGTCTTCACCTAGCAGATATAGACAAGATGTCTTAGCAGATATAGACAAGATGTAAAGCAGCTTTGATGTTAGCTCTCCTTCCCCAGAGTCCAGTGGCCATGAAAGACGAGGGTTCTACACAACGAAAAAAAGGGTTACAGACCCTACTTCCTCCATGCAGCTTCTACTCTTGCAGAAAAGGGTAGTGAGGTGTTGAGAGTTAATTGGGTACACACTGGGAAGAAAGGATTTCTGCCAGCAGGTCCCAGAGGGCGCATGTTCTATTTCCTGGAGACCATCAGCAGTGCTTACTCTTAGTGGACAGCTGAGTGTAGTCCTGTCTCTTGCATATGGTGGCCAGGAATTTAGGGATGGGGCTGCTTGGTCACAATTAATCTACTAGTAAAAATATTTATATACAGCTAAAAGTCAAACCCACTCTTGTTCAAAAGCAGCGCTGCCACATCCATGTAAACCTCTATTATGTAATTAAGTTTCACTGGCTGGTTTATAGCTAAGCCTTTGGACTACAAAGGGCACTGAAAATAGAAAGGCTGGCTTTTTTTTCAGTCTCTAGGCGCATTGAACCCAAGGGGAACTCACTTCAATCTGTGCTGAATGTGCCACAGACTGTAGGTGACAAAGAGTCCTCTGAATGATTGAGAACAGTACCATCCATAGTGGGATGCTTACTGAGAGAGCATAAAGTCAGCACCCAGCTTTACCTTGTCTTGGGTAGAAGCTGGTTTTTTCTAAAACTCCTGAGGTTGGTGTTTCAGAAATTTTTGTGTGACCTATGACAGTTAATGTGTTTCTAGGTTTCTGGAACCAAGACTACTGCCCTTGTGACTGTTTTCTCTGCCAATCCCTTATCCTCCTCAATTTCTGCACTCAGATATTCTGGATTGATACAGAAAACTCTTTCCCAGAATGCATTTAAAGGATACTCTCTCTCAGTGAAGAGGAGCCACGATGAAACATTCTGAATCTGTATATATTGCGCATGCATGTGCATGTGTGTGCGTGTGTATATACATACATGTCCTTTTCCTTACAGTCCTTCTCTTGAACCAAAAAAAAGATATAAGAATGTTTATCTTATTCTTTGTTTTTAATTCACTGTCTATTTACAAAGGAATTAAGAGAGATGCAACACCATTTAAGGGACATACAATACCATCTTAGCTGGCTTTTGTTACATTTATTTAAACATCCATCTCCTAAAAGGACCATGTTTTACTGGTGTTAATGTTTCATCTGCAGAAAAAGAAAAAGTAAGGCCAGAAAGAATATACCTTATAGAATGCATTTAAACAAATAGAAATAACTTGTCTCTGATCATTGTTTTTGTTGCTTATAGGAAGTGAGCCTCTATGCAACACCATTCACAGTGGACCAGATGGTTTGGGAAATGCGATCTCATTGAGAGGAGGACTATCCAGTTATTTTAATGGCAAGCATGACAAGTTAGTTGAAGTCATATTTATCTGCAAGCTTTTGTGAAGTTATAAGCTGAACTCTTGATACTCTCTTTGGTACAAATTGTTATTTTCTTCTACATACACATCCCGCTTTTTCCACTCTCAGAAATTCCTTTGAGATGAACAAATGATCCATATGCTGAAAAGGTAAATGGATTGTGCACATGAATGATACTACGGTTGTTAATTTACTGTAGGATAGCAACATAAAATGAGGATTTCTATTTGCTTGGGAAACATTGCAATTTTTTTTTAATGTGAGGGGAATTTTCCTTATCTTTGAAAAATAATTCTTTATTCAGAATGTAATGGTCAAAAGTGTAAAACCAAATGTTTCCAGCCTTCTCCCTCACTTCAGACCCTACACTCATGCATATTTTGTTTTAGGTTTAAAGTAGGGTATTCAGTCCTATACCCCTTTCTCCTGCCTATTTTAACTGAACTTAAATACATCTGTCTCTAAAACGTATACAAGCCAAGCTCAGTGGAAACCTAAAATATCTCAGTAGCCTTTTATTCAAGTCAACTTTGCTATAAAAAAATGGTGAAACACCAATTATTGCACTTAGAAAATTACATGCATTGTGTTTAATTGTGTATAAATGAACCTGGAGGGAGCATAATTCTGCAATTTTCAAGTCAGGAATGGAGGTGAACAGGTTTCTAGGCATTTGACTAATACAGTACTTAGGCGAGTGGCACACATTATCCCCTCAATTATGGAGCCAGAATGCAGCTCTGATCCCACTGAGCATTTCATTAGTTGCTATATTGGAAAACTTTTTATCTAAGAAAATTTCTAAATGCAGACTATGGTTAATCTTTCAGTACAAGTCAAACAAGCCATGAACAAATAAGAAAGAAGAAACCACTATTTTATATTGCAGGTTAAAACAGGTGACTTTCTGTCTGCAGCTTTCTTGTCAAGTCTCTGAATGAAATGCACTTTTTTCAACGGAAGACTTTTTTCTTCAGAGACATTGCACCAAATTTGGTTGAGCTCCGTAAAACTGTGTAAAGCATGTAACAATTCTCTCCACATAGTAGGAGTTTGAAAAATGGTTGATTGAAATAGGAAATTATATCCATTAGACAAATGTTATTTTTCCACTCAACTTCATAAATTTTTCATTCTAAACGGTTTAACCCAATCTATGAGACCAAAGAATAATCTATAAAATAGCCTCTTTTATTTTAACTGAAAAGAAAGAATTCCACTCTTGCAGGTGGATTGGCTAATATCTTATGTAGAAGCTGCCTCTAAATAGCTTCAGATTACATAGAAATAATATCCTGAGCAACTGATGTGTTCAAGTTGCCAATGATTTTTAAGAGGAAAAGAAGAAATTGAAAATCTGCATTTTCAGCACTGAATATAATATCAACTTTTTCCATTGTTTCTAAAATCACTAAAGTAGATTCCAGAATTGGTAGCAGAATTGTCAGTGTCCTAGCCATCCACTACAGCAAGTGTCGAGCAGCACAGCGGAAGACTTCTAGAGGAGAGTACACGCAGAGCCCAAACATGACGCAGTGGAGAGAATGGATAATCCTATACTCTATATCACACTATAAATGAGGAAATGTTAGCAGCTGTAGTATTGAATGTGAAATTTCTGCCAAATCAAACATGGATTTGCTGGGCTGTAAAATTGATGGATTTTATTATGGTGGTCTATTTGATCATTCGTGCTTATTTATCTATACTATGTGCATCCTTTTTTTTTTTTTTTAGATGGAGTTTCGCTCTTTTGCCCAGGCTGGAGTGAAGTGGTGCGATCTCAGCTCACTGCAACCTCCGCCCCCCAGGTTCAAGTGATTCTCCTGCCTCAGTCTCCATAGTAGCTGGGATTACAGGCGCCTGCCACCACACCTGGCTAATTTTTGTATTTTTAGTAGAGATGGAGTTTCTCCATGTTGTGCAGGCTGGTCTTGAACTCCTGACCTCAGGTGATCTACCCACCTTGGCCTCCCAAAGTGCTGGGATTACAGGCATGAGCCACCACGCCCAGCTTTATGTGCATCTATGTATACAATGAACTAATAGTAGATGATGTTTTGCTTTTTTATTGTTTCTTATCCACTGTTTTCTATTATTTCATCTCAACAAGCCTTGATTGCCTGCCTTCCATGTGCCAGCACCTATTTTAAAAGAAGGTCTCTATTACTAATCAGGTATGATAAAGTCAACAGATGACACCATTGAAAAGATAGTTTGTTATTCTCACAGATCTGGAGAGCAGGGTACACACCACACCATGGAGGGTGGGGGTGGGGTGGCACACAGAGAAGCAGCAGAGTTGGTCAGGAAGCAGGGTGGAAGGGAATGTGGCCAAGAGTCTCTACTGTGGTTCCTGCAGGAAGAAAACAGCAGGGCAGAGTAAGCAGGTTTAGCATTGGCTAGTTGGAATAATTTCAATGAGCGCTGGGGTGTAGGAGCTGTTCCTGGGAAACAGTGGCCTAGAGTATGAGTCTGACAAAGGATGTGGTTGGGGTTCTGGGTCTGCATTCGTTGGTTTGCATTTGAAAGGCATGCTCACAGGTGAGTCTCTTTGTTATCTTTAGGAGTTAGGTAGCCCTGGGAAGGGCACTCCCTTTAAGGTCATCAAGGCCCCAAGATGTCAAAGCATCACCAAAAAACAGAATAAAGAGGCATGATTAATATAGCACCTTTTTAGGCACTCGAGCTATAAGAGTTCATAAGGATATGGAGGAAAGAGCAGCATCCAGGGAGTCTAAATCTCAGTCTAAATTTAACATGTGAATTTGTATAACTTAAAATCTCTTTGAACCTCTTTTTCTCATTTGTAAAATGAGGAATATATCTACTTCCAGGGTTGTTGCAGAGATTAAACAAACTATTTGTAGACATATATTTTAGGCATGTAAGAATGCCTAGCATAGTGCTTCACAGATAGTAGGTGTTTAATAGATGTACATATTCTTTCTATGAAGCCTTAGGAATCCAGAGATTCAACATAATGAGGAGCTAAATGGATATTGACAGGTGACAGCCATGAGGTTGTGTTTGCTGTGCTAGAGACCACAAACAAGCAAGGGGTTGATCCGCCAGGCATATTGGTCTCATCATGAGTGAGAAAAAGGAGAATGACAAAAATACTTTGCCTCTTGGAAACATTATGGAGTCATTGAAAATTTGTATAATCAGCTAAATTCATTATTAAAAATAAGTTGCAATTTCACATGTTCTGCAAGAATTTTAAAATTATAAAATTTCCACTATGATGGGGAGTTTTAAAAAATATATGAGCTGGCCGCATGCAGTCGTTCATACCTGTTATCCCAGTATTTTGGGAGGCTGAAGTGGGTGGATTGCTTGAGGTCACTAGCCTGACAACATGATGAAACCCCATCTCTACTAAAAATACAAAAAACATTAGCCGGTTGTGGTGGTGTGTGGCTGTAGCCCCAGCTACTCAGGAGATTGGAGTGGGAGCATCTTTTTCAGCCTGGGAAGTTAATGCCAAAGTGAGCTGTGATGGCTCCACTGCATTCCAGCCTGGGCAATGGGAGTGAATCTCCTTTGAGGGTTCTAGTGAGCTGTTGCTATAACAAATAAAACTGGTTACAAGCGTGCCTTCTCATCTACCTTCATCAGTCTACACCCAAGAATATGTATGCACAGGGCCATACTTTAACAGTGTTGCCTAAATTTCCATACAAATTTCTAGTAAGTGTTAATAGTCTTAGGCAGAGTGGTACGTGTCTGTGTTAGGACACATTTGCACATGCCTTCAAATCTTCTCAGCCTATCTCTTACTACAACCACTACTACAGGAATGCATCCTGCCCAGGGGCTTCTCTAAGCCTCTCTAACCTTGCAGCATGAGACAGCCCTGTTACCTCACTCTGCACTCATACATGCACAGTGTGAACAAGTGACACCTGCACCACCAAATTGACCAGGGGGTCTTGAGAGCTGATGCACAAATGCTCGGCTCGGAGTGAACAGTTCTGACACACATTCCAGAGGGCATCTCAGAGCCCACAGAAAGGAGAACTGATGATCCTTAGGAGAACTCATGCTTAGTAATTGCCTGGGAAATTCAAGAACTTATCCTTGTATTACTTGTCCATTCTTCCCTGGGTCGCATCCCTGTTTTTTGTTCCTTCTTGGAGTCTCTTCTCAAAAAAACATCTGAAACTAAGCTTTTGTCTTAGGCTCTGCATTTGGAGGAAACAGGTTAAGACAATTGTACTGGGCATGTCCTTAGAAAATAGACCCTCATGATGAAATGCTGGTGCTGAATTTATATGCTGGTCAGACAGCAATAGGGGCCCCAGTGCAGCTGGGTGGTGGAAGGTGATCCCCTGTGACAGGCAGTACCAGCAAAATCACTAAGACTCCCATCTGAGGTGGATTGGGAAGAGGTACATTGGGAAGGTCAAGCTTTGAGCTAGGCCATAGCTTTGGCAACCAACAGTAATTTTGCCTTTGCTTCTTCTGTTTGCCTCTTTTCTATTTTATTTTTTTTCCTTTCATATGTTTTGTTTATGCTTGTTTTTGATTTGTGTTTAGTTGGTTCTTTTTCTAGCTTTTTCAAAATGGAACATGATTTTAGACCTTTCTTCCTTGCTAATAAATTCCTAAAGCTATAAATTTTCTCCTAGGTACTGTTTTAGTTATATTTCCAAATTTTAATAGGTATTTTCATTTTCATTCAGTTTGAAATCATTTCTAATTTTCCCTTTGATTTCTTCTTGGACCCATGGATTATGCAGACATGCAGTATTTATTTGATTTCTGGTATTTGTGGTCTTTTTAGATATCTTAGTGTTATACATTTCTAATTCAATTCCAGTGGTCAAAGGGCCACACTCTGTGTGATCTCAATCATTTTAAGAGTATTGAAACTTATTTTATGGCCCAGTAAATGGTCAACCTTGGTGAGTATATTATGTACATTTGAAAACAATATATTTTCTGCCCTTGCTGTTTGAAGTGTTATGTAAACATCAGTTTACATACAGGTCATATTTCCCTATCAATCAAGCTACCAAGACGAACCAAATGCTTATGGAAGGTGAATAAAATCTAGAATGTGTAATAAAAGAGGGAAATGATGAACATTAATTATGTCCACAAGACCAGCTCCACAAGGACTACTACTTATTCTATTAACCCATTAAAAATTTTTTTCTTGCAGAGGCTGCAGTTGGCCACCACTGTGAATGGCATTTGGTAGTAAATGGATTAGATAGCATGGAGGACCAGAAAGACCATGAGCAGTTCAGAATGGAAACTATGTTGAATCCTTCTTGTGTGCCACTCTCCATCCTTCTCTCCTGCTCTTGGAAGTCACTTCTCAATAAGGATCCTGCATACATGTATTTATCTCAGGCTCCATTGCCTCTTTTATTTTTTTCTGGGGTGAAGTTTCAGGAACAGAAGTGGGATGGGATGGATATAGAACAGAGACCATGTCAGTGGTTCATAAACATTATTTCATTCATTTCCCCATAATACACTATGCGTTAGATACTATGTATTTATAGACAAGGAACTGAAGATTAGTATGCTTCTCAAAATTACTGCCTTAACTGGAGCAAAACTTTGTTCCAAAGACAACACTTTTCCCTTCATTCTCTTGGAGTGTGGCTGCATGTTCATTAATGCGGTGCTCCATTCATTCTTCATTCATAAGTAGGTAATGAGTGGCTAATGAGTGTCAGACACTGTTCTAGGTATATGGACACAAAAGTGAACAAAACTAAAACCATCTTTGTCTTTTTGGAGCTTATGTCCCATTAGGGAAGACAGACAATAGTGAGTCAGAAATTAACACAGTGCCAGATATTGATGAGGGCAGCATCAGATGCTGTGAATTGGCTTGCTCAATATCTGTTCCAATGACTTTCCAGTGTGTCTTCCTATACTGCAAAAGCGAAAAAGATAAAAATTCTTTCCCTGGACTCACTTTGAGTAATGTTGTTGATGTGATGTCAGTTTATAAGAAGTGAAATCAGAATGGAGTAAGTGGAAGAAACGGCATGGAGCATCCGTGTTGCTAGTACAAATCACAGCAGACCAGCATAGTCATTGGTCCTCGGATCTCAGTCTTCTGGCTGGCAGGCTTAGTGTACTTTCTGTATCCATCAGGTTGCTGGCAGCTTCTCCATCATGACAGGAGCAGCAGATCCTTTGGCAGCCTATTATTATGACTAGGATTATGCTGTCGTGTAACCCATCAAAAGAAGAACTATTGTGACTTAATTTAAATTGAATATCAGTCACTACACATGCTGAGACCCTATTCAAGGTGATGGGTTTTGAGTGAAGAACTGAATGTCAGAAAGGTAGGTGGTCAAGATGAAGAATTCACAACCCTTGCTTTTGCAGAGGTTATAGGCTAACTCTAGTAATTCAAGATCATGTATGTGATAAACAGAAGCTCAAGAGCTCTGCCCAGCGAAATAGCCAGGAAAGAGTGACTGGTTTGCTTCTGTGGGCTCCTAAGCTCTCCATCACCCCTCCTGAAGCATGCTTCACTCTAGTCTTCCTATTCAAAACAGCAAAAAAGCAAGTTGTGACACATGAGTGGTACATTGGAGCATCACCCTTTCTCTTACATATGTCGAGACTAATCATGTATGCCAATCATCAAAACACCATCCCTAGTAAGCCTGGGAAAGATCAGGCATTGCCTGATATCAAGTCTTAAGGATACGTCGTTTGGTCTTCATGCTTTCATATGTGTCATGATGTCCTATATTCCTCCCTGCCAATCAGCGCTCCCCAGACATCTGATCTGGCTCAAACTGTGGCAAATTCAGATGAGATTTCTCTTTCTCCTGATTGCCCTGTGCTGCCAGACAGCGCCCTCACAATTGGACCCTAGTGTTGTGAGCTCTCCATAGCCTTGGGATCTGACAGGCTGGAGCTCCTCCTACAGCTATTGTCAAAGGGTATAGAAATTTCTACCCACTCTCACAATGGGGATAATTTGCCTTCCTGACCTGTCAGTCTCTGGAGATCATCTAGTGCCATCTCAGCTGTGACATGGACCCACAAATGACAACTGCTCTGGGGCAGCCACTGAATGGGCTCCGTTTGCTCCTAAGGGACTTTGGGAAATGGCTCCTGTTGTTATTGTGGTCTTTTATGTCCAGAAAGATCAATCACATATTACTTAAGATAAAGAAGCAGTTGTTAAAATCATGTCTTCTTTTAGTGACAACTCAGTGACTTGAAATTCTGTCTTAAGTAACAAGATGTACTTATGTGATTTTTTTTTTTTCTAATAGAGAGGGAAACATGTTGTGAAAGAAATGCAAAAGAAGATGAAAACTATTTTTCTTAGAACATTTACAGTGATGGTCTGTGTAATAATAACTGACAGCGAATATTGACCAAATCCTTTTCCATGCATTTGTCAATTAATTACCGCTAAACCAACAATATGATTATTATCTTGATTTTTTTTAAGTGAATAGAAGTGTCATGTGAGTTGGGTCTGTGTCCCTACCCAAATCACATGTCAAATTGTAATCCCCAATGTTGGAGGTAGGGCCTGGTGGAAGGTAAATTGGATCATGAGGGTAAATTTCCCCTTTGGTGCTGTTTTCCTGATAGTGAGTTATCATGAGATTTGGTTGTTTAGAAGAGTGTAATACCTCCCCTCCTCTTTCTCCTGCTCTGGCCGTGTGAAGATGTGCCTGCTTCCCTATTGCCTTCTGCCATGATTGTAAGTTTCCTGAGGCTTTCCCAGTGATGCTTCCTGTACAGCCTGTGAACCATCAGCCAATTAAACCTCTTTTCTTTATAATTACATGGTCCCAGGGATTTCTTCATAGCAGTATGTGAATGGACTCATACAAAGTTCTAATAAGTTGAATGGCTTGCCTAAGACCATATAACAGATGATGAAGCTGGAAAGAGCATCCTTGAGATTTTAAGACTCCATTTCTTCTTTTAGCTTTAGATGACTTCAGGTCCTTGTTCTTAGTGGAAATACCTCGGACAAAACCTCTAAGTACAAAATGAGAAGGTTCTGTGGTTCACCTTGATAGATTCTCAGGTTCTGTTGGTCTGTTGGGGTAATCAAAGTAAACAAGTTCAGAACTTTGTGGTAGTTCTCATGATCTATGACAGGAAATTGAGCTTCAGGTGATTGGTTCGTTTTAAAAATATTACCGTAAATTCAGGAGATTTGTACTAAAATAATGCTAAATTTGAATATTAATTTTAGAATGCTATTCATACAAATATTTTTGCTTGCTAAAATGAAGTATTTGATAAGGTTTTATATAAAATTATATTCTTTTAATTATGGTTTTTAAAACTGCTTTCTTTGAACCTTCTTCACTCGGGCTGGTAGAGTTGTGAGAGGAGTACTCCCGTGGTCTTATGGAGAGGAGGAAACGTTCCTTCTTCATCCACTTCCTTGAGGCTTGATGTGGTAGTTGCTTTATTAATCTTTGTTGATTGAGTCAAAACATGGATGAATGAATGGGTGAATGTGTAAACCTCTAATTTCTTTCATTTTTGTGTGTGTTGTGGAAACATCTTAAACCATTTCTTAAAAACATCTTTTATTATTTTTCCCAAAATTTATTGAGATATAATTGACAAAACATTGTATATATTTAGGATGTATAACACAACGATTTTATATATATATATACATTGTGAAAAGATTTCCACAAATTAATTAATACACCTGTCACCACACTATGTTATCATTATGTGTGTGTGTGTGTGTGTGTGTGAGAGAGAGAGAGAGAGAGAGAGAGAGAGAGAGAGATACAGACACTTAGGATCTATTCTTTTTGCAAATTTCAAGTAAACAATACTGTATTGTTAATTGTAATCAGCATTCTGTACATTAGATCACAGAACTTATTCATCTGATAACTGAAAGTTGGTACCCTTTGACCTACATGTCTCTCTTTCCCTTGCTCCCCAGCTCCTGTCAGCTCTCTGCTTCTATGACTTTGACACTGTTTTTAGATTCCACATATAAGTGAGACTGATATGTAAAGTCAGTTTAACTCATTATCTCTGTGTGGTTTTAGACAAGAGGCCTGAGAACTTACTGAAGTATCTTTGGAAATAGTGCAGTATATGTCAACTCTGTTTCTATATTCTGGGAGAATATCCGAGCAAGAGAATAGTAATCCTTGAAAGTAACTGAGGACCCTAAAAGTCTTTAGAGGGAAATTTAAAAAAATATTTATGTTATAAATGCTACTGTGATCTAAAATTGATTCAGATTTGTACTTAAAAATAAATAATGATAGGGATGTCCAGTTTCAAAATGTAAGCTTGGAGGCGAGTTGTATTTCCTTTCCCTCCATACAGAAAATGAAAACCAAATATACACCATCAAGATTAGCACCAGTAATATCCTAGAACTAAAATATGACAATGAGACAGATCCTGGGGCCACAGAGAAGTGAAAAACTGAGGAGATGGTAAGAGAAGTAGACTTCCACATCCACAACATGCCTTCCCTCATTCTGCCTGTCACAAAGTATCTGGAAAATTTCCCTTAGCTTATGGTTTCTACACTGAAAAAAGTGAGCTCAAAGTGGACAACCAGCTTCCCCACCATCTTGGATTCCCTGGCAGGAGATCTGTTCCAGCCATAACCCTTGAAAAGCATTGTGAGGGCTGGAAGGGAAAGATATGCCCAAGGACAGGCAGAGACAAAGGAGGGAGGCAGGACTACTGTTCCCAGCCCTGGAAACTCTGCTCTGTAACTTAGCCAAAGGAGATGCCAAATCAGAGTGGCTTTTCAGCAGCATCACACCATACAAGGTACATTCCACAGGTCCCCTGGGCATGAATCCCTAGCCAGGCTTCCCACAATAACAAGCTATCTCCTTTGAGACCTCCCCCATTCAGGACAGGCAGAATTCTCATCATTTACTAGAGTTAAGTTGAACCCAGGCTTAAGGCACCATCTAGAGCCAAAAAGAGGTGAGTGACCTAGTGGTAAAGAATCTCTAAGCAATTACATCCAATTAAAACCAAAAGAAGTCAGAGAGAGAAGGCTGGAACAAATAACTAATTCTTCACTGCAAAGACATAGACATATATCCACAAGAAACAACAGGAATCCATGACCTCTGCAAACAGAAAAAAACAAGGAAGCAGCAACTGACTTAACAAGAGTGTGATATGTGAGATCTCTGACCAAAAATTCAAAATAGCATTTTTAAGGAAACTCAGCATTCTCCAAGATAACACAGAAAAGCAATTCAGATATTTATCGGAAATATGTAACAAAGAGACTGAAATTTTAAAAATCAAACAGACATTTTGGAACTAATAAACATTTTCTGAACTAGAAAATTCATTAGAGGCTCTCAACAGCAGAATGAGTCAAGCAGAGGAATAAATTAGTAAACTCAAAGACAGATGCTTAAAAATACACAGTCAGAGGAGAAAAGAAAAGAGAGAAAAGGAACAAAGACCATCTACAAGATGTAGAAAATTACTGCAAAAGACCAAATGTGATAATTATTGACATTCAAGAGACAGTTGAGAAAGAGCAAAAGATAGAAAGTTTATTTAAAGAATAGACAAATTTTCAAAACTTGAGAAAGATGAAAAATATTTAGGTACAAGAAGATCAGAGAACCCCAAACAGATTTGGTGCAAATAAGACTACCCCAAGTTGTATAATGATCAAACTCTCAAAAGTCAAAGACAAAAAAAGAATCTTAGGAGCAGCAAGAAAAAAGAAGCAAATAACATATAAAGAAGCTCTAATTCATCTGGCAGAAAACTTCTCAGTGGAAACCATACAAGCCAGCAGGGAGTGTAACAACATTTTCAAACTGCTGAAAGAAAAAAAATTCCTGCCATACAAGAATGCTCTATCCAGCAAAGTTATCCTTCAAATACGAAGGAGAGATCATCTTTCCCAGACAAATCAACACTGAGAAAATACATCACCACCAGACCTGTCTTACGAGAGTTTGAAGGTATAAAACTCATGAGTAAAGTTAAATATACAGACAAATCCAGAACATTCTAATACTGTAATTGTGGTTTGTAATTGCCTCATAACTCTAATGCAAAGACAAAAAGACAAATCTATCAAAAATAATAACAGCTACAACAACCTGTTAACTGGTAGTAATATAAAAATATGTAAATGACACTACTGAAAGTCAAAATATAAGGGGAATAGAATTAATGTGGTGAATTTAAAGGTTTTTCTTTGTTTTTGTTAATTTCTTTGTGATCTGATGTAAATTGTCATTTCTTTAAAATAACATTTATATGGTATTTTTGTAAGCCTCATGGTAATCACAGTGCAAAAACCTATAATAGATTCACTAAAAATAAAAAGCAATTAATTAAAGCATACAACCAGAGAAAAACACTTAACTGCAATTAAAGACAGTGAAAAAAATGAAGAGTTACAGAATTACCAGAAAACAAATAACAGAATGGCAGTAGGTAAGTCATAACTTATCAATAATAACACTGAATGTAAATGGACTTAGTTCGCCAATAGAAAGACATAGAGTGGCTGAAAGGATAAAGAAATAAGACCCAACTACATGTTGCCTACATGAAACCTACTTCACCTATAAAGACACATGTAGACTGAAAGTGAAAGTGTGGTAAAAGATATTCCATGCAATTAGAAATCAAAATAGAGCAGAAGTAACTATACTTATATCAGAGGAAATAGACTATAAGTCAAATACTGTAAGAAAGGTAAAAAGATCACTATATAATAATAAAGAGGTCAATTCAGCAAGCTATTACATTATAAATATTTATGTACCCAACACCAATGCTTCCAAGTATATCAAACAAACATTTAATAGATCTAATGGGAAAGATAGACTGTAATGTAATAATAGGAAGGAATTTTAACACCCTACTCTCAGTAATAAACAGATCATATAGACAGAAAATCAACAAAGAAAGATCAAACTGAACACTAGACCTAATATATACTGAAGTTAAACTACAAACTTGCCCCAATTGACATTTACAAAACGTTTTACCCACATTCCTTTCATCAGCACATGGAACATTCTCAAGGTTAGACCATGTCTTATGCCATAACACATGTCTGAACAACTTCAAAAAAGTAAAAATCACATCAGTTATCTTTTCTGACCACAATGAAATAGTACTGGAAATCAGTATATGAAAGCATCCTCAGAAAAAACACAAAAACATGGAAATTGAACAATAAGTTTCTGAATAACCAATGGATCGATGAAGAAACTATGAATAACTACAAAAATAAAATTAAACAATTTCTTGAAAAAAATGAAAATAGAAATAGAACATGCCAAAATCTATGGGATACAGCAAAAGCAGTACTAAGAGGGAAGTATATAGCAATAAATGCTTATATCAAAAAAGTAGAAAGACTTCAAATGCACCTGAAAGAACTAGAAAAGCAAGAACAAACCAAGCTCAGAATTAGTAAAAGGAGAGAAATAATACAGATCAGAGCAGAAATAAGTAAAATTGATACCAAAAAGAAGACACATGATCAATGAAATGAAAAGTTTGTTTTTTAGAAAAGATAAATAAAATTGGCAAACATTTAAGCTGGACTAACTTAGAAAAAAAGAAGATCAAATAAATAATTTCAAAAATGAAAAAGGAAACATAACCACTGAGGCTACAGGAATGTAAAGAATCATTAGAGACTATTATGAACACTTACATGTCAATAAATTTTAAACTTAGAAGAAATGGGTAAATTCCTGGAAACACACAACCTACCAAGATTGAACAGTAAAGAAATAGAAAACTTCAACAAACAATAAGGAGTAACAATATCAAAGCTACAGTAAAAATAAGTCTTCCATTCTAAAGAAAAGTCTGAGACCTGATGACTTCACTGGTAAATTTTACAAAACATATAAAAATGAACTAATGCCAGTTCTACTCAAATTCTTACAAAATACTGAAGAAGAGGGAATACTTCCAAACTCATTCTATGAGGCCAGCATTACCCTGACACCAAAACCAGACAAGGACACACACACACATATAATAAAACTACAGGCCAATATCACTGATGAACATAGATGCAAACATTCTCAACAAAAAACTAGCAAACCAAATTTTACAACATATTAAAAGGAACATTCACTACGATCAAGAGGGATTCATTCCAGACATGCAAGGATGGTTCAACATACACAAACAAATGAACATGTATACCATATTAACAGAACCAAGAACAAAAACAATATGATTATTTCAGTTGATGCCAAAAAAGCATTTGATAAAATTCACCAACAATTTATGATAAAAATCTTCATCAAATTGAGTATGGAAGAAACATATCTCAAAATAATAAAGGCAATATATGACAAAACCACAGCTAATATTACACTGAATGGGGAACAATTGGAAAGTCTTTCCTCTAAAGACTGGAACGAGACAAAGATGCCCACTTTCACCAATTTTATTCAACATAATACTGGAAGTCTTGACCAGAGTAATCAGGCAAGAGAAAGAAACAAAGGGCATCCATATTGCAAAGAAATATGTCAACTTAGCCTTTTTTGCAGACCACAGGATCTTATGCTTAAAAAAACCTAAAGATTCCACACAAAAAAAACTATTAAAACTGTTAAACAAACTTAGTAAAGTTGCAGTATACAAAATCAACATGCAAAAACCAGTAGCATTTATATATGCCAATAGCGAAAAACCTGAAAAAGAAATCAAACAAGCAATCCCATTGCAATAGCTACAAAGAATATAAATACCTAGAAATCCATTGAACCAAAGTCAAAGATCTATATAAGGAAAACTAATTATAAAACAATGATGAAAGAAATTGAAGAGGACACAAAAATTGAAAAGATTTTCCATGCTCATGGGTTAAAAGAATTATTATTGTTAAAATGCAAATACCACGCGAAACAATTTCCAGATTCAATGAAATCTCTATTATAATAGCAATGACATTCTTCACAGAAATGGACAAAAATGTAATATTTACATGGAACAACAAAAGACCCTGAATAGCCAAAGGAATAAGAAGCAAAAATAACAAAGCTGGAGGCATCACCGTACCTGACAACAAAATATAATACAAACCTGTAGTAACCAAATAAGCATGGCACTGGCATAAAAACTGACACATAAACCAATCAAACAGAAAAAAGAAACTAGATATAAATCTATATATTTATAACCAACTCATCTTTGACAAAAGCAACGAGAACATGCAATAGGGAAAGGGCAGTTTCTTTATCTTTATAACCAACTCATCTTTGACAAAGGCAACAAGAACATACAATAGGGAAAGGACAGTTTCTTTCAATAAATGGTGCCAGGAAAACTGCATAACCATGTTGCAGAAGAATAAAACTAGATGCCTATCTCTCACCATACACAAAAATCCAATCAAAATGTATTGAAAGATTTAAATCTCAGACTGGAAACTATGGATGTACTAGAAAAATATAATTGGGGAAACATTCTAAGACATTGGTCTGGGCAAAGATTTTTGTGTAAGACATCAAAAGCAGAGATTACCAAAATAAAAATAGAGAAATGGGATTGTATTAAGCTAAAAAGCTTCTACCCAGCAAAGGAAACGATCAACAAAGCGAACTCACAGAATGGGAAAAAAATATTTGCAAACTATCCATCTGACAAGGGATTAATAACCAAAATATCCAAGGAATTCAAACAACTCAATAGCAAAAAATAAATAACTCAATTAAAAAATGGGCAAATGATCTGAATAGACATTTATCAAAAGAAGATATACAAATGATCAACAGGTATATGAAAAAATGTTTATTAGAGAAATGCGGATCAAAATCACAATGAGATATCAGCTCACTCCATCCTAAAAGACAGAAAACAATGAATGCTGGAGAAGATAGAAAGATAAATTCTTGTACACTGTTAGTGGGAATGTATATTAGTACAACCACCCTGGAGAACAGCATGGAGGTTCCTCATGAAACTAAAACTAGAACTACCATATGATCCAGCAGTTCTGCTAGTGGGTACATATCCAAAAGAAAGGAAATCAATGTATCAAAGAGATATCTGTACTTCCATGTTTATTGCAACACTACTCACAATGGCCACAATAGGAAATCAACCTAAATGCCTATCAATGAATAAATGTATAAAGAAAACGTGGTATACATACACAATGAAATATAATTCAATCATAATGAAAAATGAAATCTTTTCATTTGAAGTAACATGGATGGAACTGCGGGTTGTTATATTTACTGAAATAAGCCAAGCACAGAAAGACAAATATTGCGTGTTTTCACTCATATGTGGGAGCTAAAAAAAAGAAATTGATTTCATGAAGGTAGAAAGTTAGTTTGTGGTTACCAAAGGCTGACAAGGATAGGGTACAGGGGGAGATGAAGAGAGGCTTAGTAATGGTAATGAATATAAGGTTTGAAAGAGGAAATAAGACCTAATGTTTGTGAAATCACCAGGGTGACTATAGTTTACAACTATCTATTGTACATTTTGAAATAGCTAGAAGAGTATAATTTGCATGTTTCTAGCATAAGGAAAAGACAAATATTTAAGATGATGGATGTCCCAAGTACACTGATTTGATCTTTACAAATTATATGAGTGGATTAAATTATCACATGTACCCCGGAACTATGTACATCTATTATGCATCAATAAAAATTGTTTTAAAATAATAAATTACAAAAAGAATACAGATTCTATGTTAATAAGATCATTCTGTAGTTGATTTGAAGTGTCCGTATATATTCAGTAGAACTGAATTACCTGGGAGAATAAATTTGGTTTCTTCAGTTTTTATTCTGTTGTTGGTGGAATGGTTTCTGCAACAAGAACCAGATATCCTGCACTAAACAAAATTAATTTGCTTGTACAGAATTTGATTTTAAATATTTCAGCCTCTTGTCTAAATAATCTTGTTCTTTGTAAATTCATTATACAGAAGATTTTTTTGTTTTACAGGTGTTTGACATTTCACTTATATATTTTCTAATTGTTAATTAACTATCAGATTATGAATATTCACGTGATTACATTATTGCTAATATGATAATGATAATATTAAAGTACCTATTTAATACCTATTAATTGAACATTATGAATAGTTATTAGATTATTAATTACAGCCAGGTCCAGCGTGGCTGATGCCTGTAATCCAGCATTTTTGGGAAGCCCTGGCAGAAGGATTTGTTGAGACCAGGAGTTTGAGACCAGGCTGAGCAAAACAGCAAGATTCCATCTCTGCAGAAAATTTAAAATTAGCCAGGCATGGTGGCACTTGCCTGTACTTCCAGCTACCTGGGAGACTGAGAAAGGAGGATTACCTGAGCCCAGGATTTCAAGGCTGCAGTGAACCATGATTGTGCCACTGCATTCCAGCCTGGGTGGCAGCACAAGATCCTGCCTCTAACCAAGCAAACAAATGAAGAAACATCTAGATGTTGTTATCCAGGCTCAAAGAGGTTAAGAATTTGTCCAATGACACACCACTAAGAAATGACAGAGCTGGATTCTGACATTATACCATGCTCTCCACCCCCACAAGACAGTTATCAGAAATCTGTGTAATAAAATATATGCTAACAAAAAAATGAATATAAAAATAACTTAAATTAATTTAGCATTTCAATATTTAAAGTAACATTTATAACATATAGTTTAACATATATTTCCATTTTTAATGTGACTGGATCATATATTTTTGGATGAATCACCCAATTTATGGGAAATCTCTTGGTGTCAGTAACACATAGAATTACATCACACTTATGAAAGATAAAAATAATACAGTTTAAGATGTATTTTTCACGTTAAAAGTAAAGTTATGTGTCAAAATGAAATCATTCGCTAATTATAAGTCAAAAAAGTACCTGTAACTTTCCTAATGTCACTCTGTAACTTTTTTTGCATTATAAAGACAAGTACAGTAAGAGATATGTTTTATTGGAATTTCCATCATTTTATTGGAATTTTCATTGTTAAAGCAATTTGGGGTTTTTGCTACATCTTATGTTTATATATGACATCATGGTCATGAAATTACATCAGTCATGTGAATAGTAAAGAAATAAAAACTTTCTACTACCTTGTGGAAGGTGACAATAAAACTTTGGATTGACCTTGGAAATGAGGATAGCATAAGTAAACAGTGTGAGGCTGATGAACCAATAGTGGAATGAGAAAAAGGGGACCTGGATGATCTACTTCAGTATTAATCTCCCAAAGGAATTCTTTTTTTCTATCTAAACTGGTAAGCTTGCACCTGATGTTTTTCAAGTTCTCTTATAGCTCTAAGACTGTAGTCCTAAAAATAGCAGCAGTGGCTGTTTGACCTGGTGTGATCCCTGCGATCTGGAAGCCATGGGAAAATGGAGATGAGGAAGGTAATCACTGCAGTCGCTCTTACATTTTTAAAAATAGAAAATGCCATGTCCTTAAAGTTTTTTACACACAGATACATCAGAAAATGAATTTAGACTTTTATCTACATTAACAAGTGTCTTCTAAATGAAAATGTTATTTTCCTATGAATATGAATGTTGTTTACATATGTAAATTTTTGATTGAAAAACAAAATTTGTCAAATACGTTTTGAATATTTATTTGGCTTCAACTATTGCTGCTTTAACAAGTACTTGGTTTAGTATTAAAGAGATATGAATGCCTTTGGGAATAGGTCTGCACATTGCTACTAAAAAGAAAATATTTTAAACATATAGTACTTAATATTATCAATTAGATTATGATATTAATATGTTCAAAGACATACATAAATAGAATAATTCTTTCTATTAATATGTTCATAGACATACATAAGTAGAATAATTCTTTTTGGCAATATAGCTTTCATTTTTTATATAGACACTTAGAATTTTATATGATGTTGGCTGGGTGTGGTGGCTCAAGCCTGTAATCCCAGCACTTTGGGAGGCTGAGGCAGGCAGATCACAAGGTCAAGAGATCAAGACCATCCTGGCCAACATGGTGAACCCTGTCTCTACTAAAAATGTAAAAATTAGCTGGGTGTGGTGGCGTGCCTGTAGTCCCACCTACTCAGGAGACTGAGGCAGAATAACGACTTGAACCTGGGAGGTGGAAGTTGCAGTGAGCTGAGATTGCACCACTGCACTCCAGTCTGGCAACAGAGCAAGACTCCATCTCAAAATAAATAAATAAATAAACAAACAAATACATACATACATGAATAAATAAAAGAATTTTACATGATATTTTAGTTCCAAGATTTCTATCCAAAGCTTGTTGATATAAAAGTTGTGTCATATTTAGTATTCTAGTAACCCCAGAGAAATAGTTTAGCTTAAGATTGTATTTAAAGTTTTTTAACCTTGAAGTTGAAATGGTAATTGTACATATTCGAAGCAAAGTTAAACCCACTTAAAATACATATTAATATTGATTTATTGAGGAAAATTTTAACCCAACATTTAAGTAATCTATCAAAGATAAATAAAATTTAAAAATAGGAAATAATAATGGCTGACAATGTCCAAATGTAGCAATAAAACTACCTTTATCAATGGTGTTACCATTATCAAACAAACAAAAAATTTAAAGCACTGGTCTCTTGTAAAAATTTGTAACCTTAAGAAATTAGCAACTTCTGAAGACACTTTGGAAATATTCTGAATACTCATTGGATGATAAGCATGCTCAAGTTTATTTGAATGGACTCATTCAAATGCCTAGATCCTGCATGATATAATAATGAAGAACCATCTTATTCCTTCTCAAAAAAAAAGAAGTATTTATTGTGCTGTGGTACAGGAGCAGGACAGGAGACTCAAGAGACAATATGGTGAGGCCAATTAAGTCAGAAACTTTATTTATTTTAGAAACTCACTACATTAAAAGTCTTAAACCAAACATCCCCTATTGGGATTTTTTTTTTTTTTTCCAATACGCCCCACAGGTGTGTGCTTATTTATGATCCAAGCACTGGCTTTTAGCATCCTCCCCTCTGCTGTGTCATCACTGATCTATGATAGAGTGAGAAGATAACATTGGTTTATATTGAACACACAGTAAGTTGAATGTTCAAGAATTTCATTAAGTATATTATTAGGAATTAACTAGTGCATCTTGTGCTCTACTTTTATTACCTTTTTATGACACACTTGACCTTCACTGAAAACATGGAAATATGATATACCTATCGTTAGATGAATTTACATGAGGTGTAGAATTGTAAAAGGGGCTTGATTTTAATTTAAACACTTTCTTTCTACATTGCAAAATCTTAGATATTTGTAAACTAGTTATCATTATGAAATATAGTACTTAAGGGGAATGTGGATATATTTTGCATGTTTCTATGACTCATAGGAACCAAAATATTATATCATAGTATTTAAATGTGCCTTTTAAAAATAATTTATTAGATTCATCTGGCACCTCTCTGAAATAGGTCAACTTTATTATTCTCACTTACAGCTGAGGAAACCAAGGCATAAAAGGTTAAAGGAGCCTAAGGTATGACTGCAAATTGGAATCAGTAAGACCAAAATGCCAAATTATAACCTTTGCAATTTCTGTTTATTAATTCAGGCAAGAAGTGTTGTAAGACAGATGTAAACCAAGAAGTGAGCAAAAAATGTTCAAAAGCATAGGTTGAATCACTTTTTCTGTAATTAGTTACTTGCCATTTTCTGGCCACAGCCAAGTGAGAAGGAAATGGTCACAGCCTCAGCCCTAGAGAATATATTCATTTTGATTTATAAACGTGTTATGCAGACATCTGATTTTAAAAGTTGATCAGAGATTTCACCACAAGGAAAAAAAAATCAGTGTGTAAATTAATTGTATTTCCTAAAATAAGATAAAAATAATATAAATAGAATGTTAATATTGGGATATTCTTTCCTCAGTTTTGCTGTAGATAACATTGTGAGAGCTGTCAGATAAAGTGAGTATGAGATAAATCCACATATCCTTCATTTCTAAAAGTTCTATCTGGTTTTCTTTCCAAACTGTAGGTGATGCTTAATAGTCACTCCTTACTTTTAAAAAAAATCCACTTTTATTTTCTTCAAATCCATTAATCCAACTTATGTTACATTCAGCATTTTATAATTGCACTATCTGAAATCTTTGTGTATCTAGTTCTGTTGACTGTTATTTCTGTTGTCTCTTTCTTATAGTGGGTTTTAACTCTTGAATGTTTTACTACAATTTTTTTTCTATTGGAGTTTAAATCCATTGGAACACTCCATAGGAAGACTGGGTCGAAGTATTATTTGTCCAGAAAGGAGTTGCACTTGCCACTGGCAGTCATCTGCAAAAACTGGAGGCCTCAGTCCACATTATATAAATTTATCTGTAAAGTTCTTTACGTATTCAAGAAGCATAATTTCTGTTCCTACTAGAGACACTATGTATGGTATAGCTTAGTTTCAAAAGTTTTTAGAGAGGCTGGTATTTTATTTTCCCCCTCAATTTAGAGCCAAGGCAAGCTAGAATCTTAGTTATCTGCACTGATAGGTAATCTTTGTTTTCCTTTTAATTCATTTAATACAAAATTCCTCCTCCTTAACTCCCAGATTCATGCAGAATGGTCTCCATGGTGACTTTACATCAGAATCAAGTCTTGCTCACCTCCATTGTCTCCTTGGCCCCAGATTTTTCTCACCCTTTTGGAGACCAGTGTATTCATTTGAAAGGGCTATAGGTTATTCGAGATCATAAATTAAACTATTTTCTTAAAATCATATATTTAATTAGAACCGAGATAAAATTCAAACCTAGAACAGAGTAACCAGAGTGCTCAGATATTTCAAATCTGAGTTTGAATTTTATCTCTGCTGTTTTTTCAATAGATGGCCTTCAGCAAAGCATTTAATGTCTGCAGTCTCAGTGTGCTCCTCTATGTTTATTAAATATTAAATATCATTTGTATAATATATTTAATAATATTTTAAAAGTTGCATAATTTATGTGATAGTAATTATCATATTGATAAATTATGTAATAATTTACATGTAAATAATATTATTAAAATATTAACTCCAGGTTATAGAAAGCATTTAGCAAAATAAAATATATGAAAATGCCTAGCCCAGTGCATAGAAAATAATCAGAACAAAAACAGAAGTTAATGTTAGAGAAAAATAGCAAGTGTTACACATATAGCACAAATTTTGGTTATAGAAAACTAGGAATGTTTTACTAGTATCTAGTAAACTTTATAATAGTAATAGAGCTTTAAATAGTAAAAACCAACTGACAGTCAAGAACATTAAATTTTCTTTCTCAGTCTACTTCTGTTTCTTTAATAAGACAGAATCAAAAGGATTTTGAACTTTGAAGTGCATTTCTAATTCAAAAGCATCTAAAAGATTTTCTGACAATTGTTAAAACATGAAAATGTAATGAGGCCTCAGTATATCTTCTGCAAAACCTTCCTCTACATACCCATTTTATTCAACCCGAAGGTTTTGAAGGCTTTATTTTGCATATTCTACTGCAAGTCTTTTTGACTTTTAAGTCCACATTCTCTTAAGCGAACTATATGAGCTCTGGGATAAATTTGCTGTTAAGTCATTCTTTGGTCTATCTAGTCCTGATCCATGTGCCTCAATTTTATCTAATTTCCTTTCATTCTATTCTTACTGGAGATCAAGAGCGAATGACACCTGGTTTCCACTCCGAAAAGAGAAAAAAGGGAGAGAATACTTCATACATGTAAATACTGTTATTAAGTCACACATTCATTTTTCTTTACTGCTAAAACTTTCCAATTCTTCTACCTTTTATCAAATGGGCTATTTCCCAGTTCTTTCCTTTTCTTTTAGTGCTTTTGTATTTTCTCTAAGTTTTTTATACATCTCTGAAGTCAAATGCTACTTAAATTGCTTAATAAAATTTAAGTAATTGTATTAAGAAACGGGTCTAATGTTGTATAATATACTAACAGAGCGCTTTTAAAATAAGGGAGAGTTTTAGAGTGTAGCAAGACCAATATATTATCTACATCTAATTTTATTATATATGCTGTTATATTCTTGGATATTTAATATTTTACTCATACAGAAAGAGAGTAAAACTAAAACAAAAAATCTGTATTCAAAATTATAAAAACAAGGTTAAGCTGGGAAAATGTTCTTAAAGAACAGAAATACACTTGAGGAAGTCAAATGGCTTAAAGCTGGGATGTTGAAAATACAGATAGTAACTCTAAATTTGCCATTCAAGTTGAATAGAAAGCATTTCTTATGAAAATACATAAAAATGTATTTGGCTTTTCACAGGCGAGGTACAATACATATTCAGGATTTGTCATTTTATTTTATTTTTTAACTGTGCTGCAACAGAGCCATGTGACTAAGTTCACATGATCCACTGTGGATCATGATTAGCAAAGACAAGCCCTGGCTATGTCACCTTTAGACAACGCAACGTAGAGATGGAGTCTGGAGCTGCCAACCTAAGCAAGATGGAAGTTATGCATTCAGGATGGCAAAGTGTGAAACTGAAAGAGCCTGGTTCCCCAACACCCTGGAAGGATCGTGTCAGTCATAAACTACTTACTTTGGGATGATCACATGGAAAAGGGGTACATCTCCATTTCCTTTAAGCCACTATGGGATCTTCATTGAGCAGTGAAATAGCCCTCTGAACAAATACACGGTGTAACAAAGTTACAAAACTACCTTTGTCTTTACATGTAAAAATATTTACTTTTAATGTTATTTTTGCTTTAAGAGTGACTTTGAACAGAGCTAGAATTAGTCAAGAAAGAACTAATAAGTACTAATTGCTTTGTGAAACAGGCTACAAGGTTTTATGCTACACTTTAAATCTAGACTAATTTGAATAAAAGCATACAGAATTACTAAGTTTATTTTGTGCCTTGTAAACTAGGCAGACAGTGTTCCAAAGATGAAACATATTGAAAAAAGATTTATTTAAAACTTCCACAAAATAAGTGAAACTGGAAAACAATTTCCAACAGCTTTAAAAAATAACAATCTGGGGGCCGGGCATGGTGACTCGTACATGTAGTGCCAGCATTTTGGGAGGCCGAGGCGGGCAGATCACAAGGTCAAGAGTTTGAGACCAGCCTGGCTAACATAGTGAAACCCCATCTCTACTAAAAATACAAAAAAAAAAAAAAAAAACAGTAGCTGGGCATGGTAGTGGGCACCTGTAATGCCAGCTACTTGTGAGGCTGAGGCAGGAGAATCACTTGAACCCAGGAGGTGGAGGTTGCAGTTGAGCCGAGATCGCACCACTGCATTCCAGCCTGGGTGACAGAGCAAGACTGTCTCAAAATAAATAAATAAATAAATAACGATCTGAAGTCTTGATGCAGCCTTTTTGTGAATAAACAGTCATAACTGCTTTACTAAAGAGGCAAAGAGATGCTGTCAATTTGCTCTTCAAATGCACTTTTTGTTTATTTTATAATAAATGTGCTGCATCCTATTGTGCCTTCATAACATTAAAAATTACTGCAAATCATTTATTCCAAGAAAATTGAAGGCCCTGAAACCACCTGTGACTATAGGTATTTATTTTATGGTGATTTTTCACTAGCTCTTTTTCAGTCATTTTCATGCCAAAGACAATTAACAGGATGTAGGCATTAATAGAGGCCATTATTACCAAACAAGTAATAATTAGACCACCAAAAAGAATGAAGTGATACAGACAGGTTCTAGCCAACAAGCTGGCTGGCATAGCCAGATGAATGCAATCTGAGTCTACCTGGCTCAGCTGCAATCGTTCCTTACTCTGCTGAATCTCTCCTCTCCCCATTCTTTCCTTCTTCCCCTGAAACCTCCCCTCTCTGCACCCCCCCACACACATTCTCACACACATTAACCAAGTTTCAACTGTGTGCTAGCCTCAAGTTAAAAAGTACGCGTGTAAAATAAATAATCAGCCCTACTTGCAAAAATGTAAGATGTAATGATGGTAAAATAATAAATTAGTGTATAATGAGTAGTGAGAACAACCAGAGGTCACTTTCTTCACCATCTTGGTTTTGGTGGATTTTGGTCAGCTTCTTTTACTGCATCCTTTTATCAGCAAGGTCTTTGTGGCCCATATCTTGTGCTGACCTCCTATCCCATCCTGTGACTAAGAATGCCTAACCTCCTGGGAATGCAGCTCAGTAGGTCTCAGCCTTATTTTACCCAGTCCCTATTCAAGATGGAGTCACCCTGGTTCAAACACCTCTGATATACTCCCATATTTTATGTGCGGTAACTAAGACACACAGAGGTAAAGGTAGATTGCCCAGTATCAAGCAGGTAGTCAGTGGAGAAGCCAGGATTTGAACTGAGTCAGGCTGGCCCAAAGCTTCCTCTATTAACCACTACTGTGTCCCACCAACCATGAACCTTCACTTAGATCATGGACAGAACCTACTGCTCGTTTATTTTTTATTGTTTTCCTAGGATGTTGACCCTGAGTGCTGATGTTACACAACTCCAAATTGAGTGCTATAGTAAAATGAAACAAAAACACACACAGCTTTAAATGTTAATAAAGTAGCTAAGCAGTATTGCATATTTTTCTATAGATTATTTTGTTGCTATAAAAAATGCAAAAGCAAAGCCTAGATATGCCTTATATTGCATTAAACATCTGATACACAAGTTGTTACAACTCTGAACACTATAATTTGATATTTTTTTCTCTTCCTCATCTATCATGGATGACCAGTGTGCTTCAAGCTCAGCAAGAGTAGGTTAAGCCAAATATAAAAGCAACTGGCATGCTTGAAATTCATTCCCAATCTCACGTGTAGAGACCTGCATTTTTCTGCCGATGGCTGTGCCTGCATTTCTCTGTGTGCCTAGGATCAGACCTAGTCAGTGGATCTTCTCAGTTCATGTCCATTGCTTCATTTCACAGTTCTCTGTTATTTCCTCTTTCCTCACATGCTATCTTTTCTAATTCCTAAGGAGCCTCCAGAAAATGAGAAGTTAATCAATGAAATTTTAGAAGATATATTTGCGGCTTCATTTCCATCCCTTTTTAAATGGTTGATTCAGTAGTTAAAACACTCCAACTATAGAACATGTAGGAATATGGGATATTATGTAACATGCATCTCTTTTCATGCATATTTGAGCTTTCAAGATATTTTTTAAAAGTACAATATCAAGATTGGATGCCAGTGTAAACTATGGACTCGGAGTGATAATGATGTTTTAATGTGGGTTCATTAATTAACAAAGGGGCCACTCCAGAGGGGGTTATTGATCATGGAGCAGGCTGTGCATGTGTGGGGGAAGCAGATATATGAGAAATCTCTGTATCTTCCTCTCAGTTTTGTTGTGTGCCTGAAACTATTTTTTAAAATAAAAGTCTATTTAAAAAAAAAGATGTAAAGGAAATACTTGGGGATTGTATAGAGAACAAAAATAACCAGCTTTTTTCCTATGCTCACACTCAACACAGAACTCTTCTGTGACCAGATGTATGGGGGGGGTGCACACTGACCAATTATCTGACGCCAGCTGGGTGTCAGATAATTAACTCAGTCTGATACTATCTATCTAGAGATAGTGTCAGATTCCACAGATGAAGGGCTCACTCCCACAAGACTGTCCCCATTTCAGGTGCCCAGGGCCAGCAGTATGTTCTCAAGCTACCCACAATTTCTGTCCAACCTGGCTACAAACTGGAAGTTCTCACAACCACTTTCATGTACTCAAACTTGTTAGAATGGCTGACAGAACTCAGGGAAACACACTTTACATATGTTTATCCATTCATAAAAGCATATACTTCAGGAACAGAAAGAAGGAAGAGATACACAAGGCAAGGTATCAGGGAAGGGGTGCAGTTTCCATGCCTTTTCTAAATGTACCACCCTCCATGTGTTCCAAAACCCCAAAGATCTCTGAATCCAGTTTTCTGGGGTTATCATTACATAGGCATGATTGATTAAATCATTGGCCATAAGTGATCAACTCAACCTTCAGAGCCTCTCCCCTCCCTGCAGGTTGTGGAGTAGGGCTGAAAGTTCAAACGATTTAATCACATAGCTAGTTACCTTGGCAACCAGTCACCCAATCCTAAGGGGCTTTCCAAAAGTCATATCACTAACATAACTCAGGTGTGGTTAAAAGAGATTTCTTATTGTATTATCCATTTTCACGCTGCTATGAAGAAATACCCAAGACTGGGTAATTTACACAGAAAAAGAGGTTTAATGGACTCACAGTCCCACATGGCTGGGGAGGCCTTAAAACCATGGTGGAATGTGAAGGAGGAGCAAAGGCACATCTTACATGCTATGCAGGAGAACTGCCCTTTATAAAACCATCAGATCTCGTGAGACTTATTCACTGTTACGAGAACAGCACAGGAAAACCTGCCCCTGTAACTCAATTACCTCACACTGGGTCCCCTCCATGAAACATGGAGATTATGGGAGCTACAACTGAAGATGAGATTTGGGTGGGGACATAGTCAAACCATATCACTTATGAATAACAAAAGAGCTTTCTTTCAGCTTTATTGCTCTTATCACTTAGGAAATTCTAAGGGTTTTAGGAGCTCTGTGCCAGGAACAGATATGAAGACAAAATATATATTTTTTGTTATAAATCACAGTATTACAGGCACCATATATGATGAAGGAAATAAAAACCATAGCAGGGAGCTCATACTACTTATATTGCCCTATTGAGGGGATTTATCAATAAAAGTACTGAAGACTCTTGAATTTTATTAATTACCTAGCCATAAGAAGAAAGGCTTTAGGCTTGTCAATATGGAAAATTAGAGTGGATTCATCTCACACACATAATTTCAAAATTCTCTAAAGACTATTCTCCTGAAAGGAGATGTTATAAGGAGTTAACTTTTAGCCTGGGCTCTGGGCAGGAAAAACAAATCCCCTAAGATTTTGGCTGCATGGCTATACCTTTAGAGGAGCTTAGGGTTGAAGTATATCCTGCCTTTATGATTGAAGAAAGCAAAAACCAAAAAAATTAAAATAAAATAAGTTAAAGTGGTACTTATGTTAGGGTCTGTTTGAAGCACTTACAGCAACTGTGGGATGGCTGGCAAAAGCCAGCCAATTCTCTCTGAATATGGCTTCTCACAGAGAGCTCTTCCAAGAATGAACTCACAATTCAAAATTACCAAAAACCAAGTGATATACATCATCATGAACAAAAGTCGGTAAAGGTGGACATTAAAGAAATTTTGATAATGCAATTCAGTTCTAGACCCAGAAAATCCATATTATTATCAAGCACATTAAGAAAACAATGATGCAGAAAAATTTTTAAACATTTGAAAATTTATCCACACATATTTACATAATTCATAGGTTAAATGAAAAATCAAAATGGAAACTTGGAAATATCTAGAACTGAATAATATCAATATATTACCTCGGAAAATATGAGGGTTACTATTAGACTTACATTTAGATGGAAATGTTATTGTTATATTTGTTATGTTACTACTTTACATATAATTTTAGAAAAGAAAGGCTAAAAATTCACTTATTATCCAAAGTGGCAAACTGACAAAACAAAACAAATAGAATAAATTTTTAAAAAGAAAGGAAATAATGAAATTTAGAGCAGAATGCAAATGTGAATTGAAAAGAACCAACAAAGTCAAAAGGTGATTCCTTATAAAGATTAAGGAAATGGACAAACTTACAATCAAGAAAAACAAAGAAATGGCACAAGTACTTAGTATTAAGAATATTAAGGTTTAAAAAGGTGATACAACTACAGAGAAATCAGAAATTATAAAAACATAAAGACAGTGCAATGATGAACTTGATCAAAATAATTTTGAAAATTTAAATGAAATAAAAGATACCTTAAAATTATAACTTAAGAAAGCTGTCTCAAGAAGAAATGAAAACCCGAGAGAGGCTCATAACCAGATACTGTTAGTTATAAAACATACACACATATATTGATACAACCTAACAGATCAGATGGTATTAGAGTTACATTCTAACACTTTCAAAAGATAGTGAACTCCAACCTAACAACAACTTTAGTAGAAAATAATGAATAAGCATTGAATAACTTATTTTATAAAGATTAATAACTGATATCAAAACTATATAGGATCATATAAGAAAAAAATCATTAGAGGTCAGTCTCCTTATGAATGAACGTATGTCTGAATATTTTTAAATATTAGGAAGCTGACTTCATCAACTAATATGTAAACATAGAAATTCATCAAGACTAATTGTTTTTAGCACGGAAACTCAATAATATGTTTACACCAGAAAAACCATTGTTGTAACATGTTATGTTAATATATAAAAGGAAAAGCAACTGTTCTCCTCAAAAACGCTGAAAATTTTTTAGCAAAATTCAAATCCCACTCATGGGATAAAATACTCAGTGAGTTAGAAATGGAAGGATAGGGCCAGGCACGGTGGCTCACGCCTGTAATCCCAGCACTTTGGGAGGCCGAGGAGGGTGGATCACCTGAGGTCAGGAGTTCAAGACCAGCTTGGGCAATGTGGTGAAACCCCGTTTCTACTAAAAATACAAAAATTAGCTGGACACGGTGGCACGTGTCTATAATCCCAGCTACTCAGGAGGCTGAGGCAGGAGAATCATTTAAGCCCTGGAGGCAGAGGTGGCAGTGAGCTGAGATTGTTCCACTGCACTCCAGCCTAGGCGACAGAGTGAGACTCCTTCTCAAAAACAAAACAAAACAAAACAAAACAAAAAACAAAAAAGGGATAGAAGAAGAAATATCCTTAACCTGATAAATAGTGTCTATCACACCTCTTCCTTGGTGGTGAAAACTCTTTTAAAACACTCATGATCTCTATAGCTATTCCACATAGTATCAATGGTTTTATCTGAGCAGTAAGATAATTATCCAATATCCATGGCAAGCAATATGATTGAAAAGAAATGTCAGCATAATTTTCAGATAGTATAATTGTCTACACAGAAATCTCAGGAGTATCTTCAGGCATTCCTAATGGTGTAGCATGTTTTTAAACATATATATATATATTCACTCAATTTTTCTGCTGCCATTCACTCTCAAAATTCTTAAAAGAATGATTTACACATAATACTTCTATTTCCTAATCTCCTATTCACTTATCAATATATTGTAGTGTAACTTCTGATCTATTCCTTATTAAATTATTAATCTTTATTTTACTTGACTTCTTAGTAGCATTTGACATGATTGACCGTTGCCTCTTTGGAACAGTCTGCTGCTCTGCCATGTGAGGTCACTCTCTTATGCAGTCACACTTCTTTACCAGACTTCTAAATTAGAAGTCTCTCTTTATCTTCCCTCTATATTTTCACTTTAAAGAATGCCAATCCCAACAACATAAATAATGCATCTATATTATAACTCCAGACTTTAGGTCTCATGTCTTTAACATGGTTTACGGATAGTAAAATAAATATTAAAAAAACATTTGATTTTCAAAACCCCCAAACAGTTAAAATAAATTTTAGAAATAATTCATTTTACAAATAAAAATAAAGGAACATGTCCAACAAACCATATGCAAGAGCTTTATATTGAAAAGTATAAACCTTTATTAAGATATATTAAAGACGACCTAAACAAATAAAAAGTTATCGTGTATAAGAACCCTCACTAGTATAAAGATGCCAGATTTACCTCAATTAATTTGTAAGATCCATATAACTTAAATCAAAATCTCAGCCTTTCTAGGGGGTCAAAATTGTAAGCCTTTCCTATAGAAAAAGAGCAATGAGGCCACAGCAGTCAAGAATAAGAAGGTGAAAGACCACGCCCTGTGAGATATCAAGACTTACAGTGAAAGCATACAATAAACAGGCACGTAGAGTAGGATAGGGAGTCTGAAAGCAAAGCCACATGTATATGCAAAAGATGATTTATGACCCCCCATTGCAAGTCAGTGAGAAATGGATGGACTACTCAACAAATATTGCTATGTCAAGCATTCCTAAGAAATATCAAATCATGTTGTACACAACACAACCACTCATCAGGAAGGGGAATGGATACTAAAGTGGACTATATTTATGTTACAGAATAATATACAGCAGTAAAAGCAACAAATTAGTGCTATATATACAAACATGAACAAATCTCAAAGCCAAAAACGCAAATATCAGTAGGTCACATGCAGTACCATATATTAATATGAAGTTTGATTTGCAAAACAACACTGTATATATTTCAGAATTCTAAAGAAACTTACATATATAGTAAAAGTATACAGCAAAGTGTCAATAATTGCCATTCACACACACAGACACACACATACACTAGTATCCTCTTGAGATAAAACTGGAAAGAGTGCAAAGGAAATTTCATCTCTATATATTTAATATTAAATTTTGTAAGTGAATTGTTAGAAAAATGAATTTTTAAATTACTTTTAAATTATAGTTGTGGCTCTAAAATATTTTAAAATCCTCAAAAAATTATTTCAAAAGAGTTGCAATATTTTTTTTTCTATGACCAGAAGATTGACTTGTAAGAATTATTTCTTCTCACCTTTGTAATGTCATCATACTCCGTATTTACATTTTTCTTACTGGCTCTTTTCTCCCTCAGAAACAATCAGGGATTGAACCTATCTAACTGTATAAACACATGCACCATGGTCCCGAGGTTGAGAATGTTCTAGAAAGAGAATTGCCCTCTCAATAGCTCTCTCAAACCGGTTTCCACCTGTTGGGCAGTAAGGGCCTGCGGCGTGTTATTGAACTAAAGGATTTATGTGGGAAATTTCCAGATTCTAAATGGATGTTGAATCCTATTTCAGTGTGTGAGTGTTTTCCACGCATTGATAACTTGGGCAGATGGCTTTCTCAGAGCTGTTGAACACTCAGTTGAAACACATTTTTTTTCCTAACAGGCTACTGAAGCTAGCACAAATTCTAAGAAAGAAAAATAAACCCTGCAAATCAACACAGTCACACCTCAGAGTCACTATAATTAAGAAATAGTTCTTACGATTTGCCCTAATGTGGAACCAGTAGATCATATAACTGCAGGTAAAGGCAATGAAATGTGAGGCAAACTATTTGAATGAGCTACACATTTTCCCTCAAGAACAGAGTGCATTCTACGCCACAGGTGTTTCAGTAATTGCAGTACATTAGGAATATATCATGTTTAACAGGCCTTGTACACACATTTCCACCTGTGTGAGGTGGTGGTCCGATCTCAATACCTCTGTCTGAGTATCAAATATATGTGAGTCTGTGCGGCTTAATAAGGCTCGGCATGCTGAACAAGTCCTATAGCTCTGGTCACCTCCTCCTTCTGCCATTGATTAGTTGCATGATGGAGGTAAATCACTTGACCTTAACATGTCTACATTTCCTCGTGTAAAATAGCTCAATATTACTGAAGAGTTTTGCAGACCCTTTATGGGAAGTAAAATTTTAATTCTCCCCCAACAAGATGATAATTAAAAATGTAAATGTACATTCTAGATTGCAAGGAGTAAAAATGCCTGGTTGATTGAGGTTTGGATCAACATCTTGACAAAAGGAAAGTGAATTATCAAAGTACAACGAAGTTTGATTAGAATTGTTTTTATCAGTTGAATTCCTATAGAAACCATCAACTTAAGTTTTCCCACTAGAAGTCAAATGCCAGAACATAGCTTGTCACAATATCATATTATAGTGCATTATCTATTTACAAAATATAATGTTTGCTTTATTTAATGATTTAAAATTGAATTACATAAAATAAAGGGGATAGGATTATACGATTAAAAATATAAGCCCAAAGTCACAGCAAAGGAAGAAAAGTACACCAAACATATACTTTTGTAAAATACATTATATTTAACTTTGAATTTCTTGGCAGCTAAGGCGCAAGGAAATTAGAAGTGGTTATACGATTCTCTCTATCAAACAAAGGGAAGAATAATAGTACTTTACAAGTGAAGCAAATGTATTATCATGGTGTTTGAGGTTTGTCACTTTATTGCGTGCTTACACAAGGAACATGAAAAATAGTTTTTTGTGGAATGTTGATTTACAACGTAATTTAAATCCATATTTTGTGGTAGCTTGTAAAACTGGCTCTAATTTCCCACCTCTTCTTAAATTCCTGCTCTTGGCCATGTAAGTTTGAAATCCCCATCTATTCTAACTCTGCCTCAGCCTTGGGATTGCTTGAGCCACAGGACTCAACAAGCTCAATACTGGCAGAGGGTTGAAAAGTGTTGGCACAGTTGGGCTTGCTGTCTCTTGACTCTCTGCCATTGCCATGAAAGCCCACCCAGGATAGCCCGCTATCAGTTGAGAGGTATGAAGAATGCACCAATTTGTCCCAATCTCCTCAAGACAGGCTCCGAGAGATAAGCCACCAGCAAACCCAGTCCTGGACCTATGTATTATAAACACAGGCACGGCCAGTAGGGCTGTCTAGACAACCACCCCAGATGTTTAAGATTACTTTTGTTTGCCACTGGGGTTTCGTGGTGGCTTATTTTGCAGGGAGAACTAACTCATGTACTATATATATACTACATATGTGATGTTTTCTCATCCCATAATCACGAGCATAGGACTTAATTTTAAAGTTCATAAATATAGCTTAAATATGTGTAAACATTCCTTTGTAATCAAAGTGAGCCACCATCAGTAGAGCTTTTGCTTTGAATTTTTTTTTCAGGTTATGATCATGTTTGTGCTCATTTATCCAGACCATTTCAGCTGAGGCTCACCAAACAAAATCCTAGGACTCTAACTAAAACAATTACTTTACCTCCCTACTTCTTCCAATATGCTGACCGATATGGCTTTTTCATTCCATGCTGAGGTTTACTTTAAAGAACTGGGGATAGATCTAGGGCTGTCTCTTGGGTAAGTTAAATTCACACAGAGTCTGTTAAAGAGAGGCAGAAACCGTTTGTACATTCATATGCCACACCGTTCTTCACATGGAGAAGTTGTGGAGGAATTTTGGTCAAAGGCAGAGACCTGGACAGTGTCTGCCATTAACCCCACATCTGTCAGGTCCATTCTCCTGTCTAATAGGTATGGCCAGTGGAATGAATGGTCACCATGCAGAGATAACATAGAGGATTCTATCTGGGGAAGTACATTGAAATAGATTCATCTTCTCATTTATTTTCCTGCCGTGGTACATATAGAAAATTATATGTACTATAGTTAACGGAGTAGATCTGTTGGGATTTGTATGCCACTTGCCCACGGTGTATAGAGACCCCAGGCTGCACCTTGCATGCCTTGGGAATGGAGAGAGTCATGCATGGATTCAATGTTAACTGTTTGCCTCATTTTGGTTGAGAACCTCCGGAACAGATGACTCGAACGACCCTCTTGACTTTCATTTAAGTTCTGTGACCAGAGATTTCCTGTGGTTAATGGGGAGAAAAACTCAGGGTACGAGAACTTTTGACTCTTTCAAAAGCAACCGAAAGATTCCTTAGAAAATTGCTTAACATTTTGAATTTCATGTTTTCATCTGAAGAATGAGAGAGCTAGAAAAGCTTAGTTATCTTTAAGTTTCTTCTCTGTATTAAATGTTATATCAGCAGGCATATTAATGCATAAAATTGCTGACTAGTTCTGTACATTTTGGGAATAGAGAGAAGAAAGATCTTTGTATAACAATCTGATATATGATTACAAAATAACCATCTCAACTCATTGGACTTTTATGGTTTCTAGGTCATTGATAATAAGGCTTTGATTAGATGCTAGGTTTCTAGAGGTTAAGAGTGACAATAAACTAATTTTTAGGAACTAAACAAATGATCATTTCCCAAGTGTAACTTTTCAGAGACCATAATGTTTTGATCTTGTCATCACTTGAATTCAGAAATGTAAATGATTGAAATAAAATATTTAGTCAAGATATTTCAATTCAATATTTTAGATTGCATTAGATTTAAAATATGTAAAAATATTAAATAAGCCAGCTCTCACCAAAATCCCTTTAACGAATATATGTTAAGTCATATGATGTTTTTTAAAAGCAGTCACCAAAGAGGGTGGGAAAAACCTAAGACGCGAATTTTAGAAATACAACATTTCTATGACTGTAGTAAATTTTCAGAAGCCAAAAAAGATGTTGAGATTTAAAATATCCACAATCAATATTTATTACTATGTTATGGGTTTTCCTCTACACTTTAATAAATAATACTAAGCTTTCTTATTGATCATCTAAGACCTAAGACAGAAATAATTATTGAAATATGAAAAAAGAGAAAATACTGATACTAGCCTTTTTTTGATCCAGTATATGGTATAAGAAAAAGAAAGGTCCAGGAAGTTAGTAAAGAGCTATTACTGAAAACACAGAGACTTAGAAAGAAACGAGGCTCAAAAATAAATAATAAAATTTATGTTCTTTTTGTATTATGGTTTGATTTGCTAAAAGAAGTACAGACAAAATGTTATAAGTCTATCTGCCAAAGTCATCCTGAAACAAATTATAAATAGGGTTTTCCTACGTAAATTGTGTGCATATGTGCTTTTATGACATGAACATTTTTGTTAGGAACTCAGAATCCCATTCCTTTTTAGTTTCTTAATTGTCTTCAAGTATCTACTTTGACCCTGAACTTTATTTATTTATTTAATTTTTTGAGACAGAGTCTCACTCTGTCACCCAGGCTGGAATGCAGCGGCAAGATCTCTGCTCACTACAACCTCTGCCTCCTGGGTTCAAGCGATTCTCCTGCCTCAGCCTCCCGAGTAGCTGGGATTATAGGCATGTGCCACCATGCTTGGTTAATTTTTTGTATTTTTAGTAGAGATGGTGTTTCACCATTTTGGCCAAGCTGGTTTTGAACTCCTGACCTCAAGTGATCTGCCCACCTCTGCCTCCCAAAGTGCTAGGATTACAGGCGTCAGCCACTGTGCCCAGCCATTGAACTTTAAATTTAGATTACTACAAGGCTGTGTATGTGCGTGTGCTGGATTTAGGAAATCAGTCACTTTTCTAAAGTTTAGTTCGGAAAACAAGCACTCAGAGACTATTTTTATCCATGTACATTGCCAGGTAACACAAGAGTTGTAAGTAGTTATAATAACCCCAGTTCTGGAGAACAGTCAATTCGTTGATTCATTCATTCACTCATTCAGCTATTCTTTTCTTCCTCTAACTTATTCCCAAAGACAGTGTCCTAGTGAATGCAAATGCAAAGGCCAAGAGGTTTGTCACTTTAGGCATTCACTTTAGGCATTTGTCACTAGCCCCAAGACATTCTCTTCCCTTGGGGCTAGTATTGCTGTCTACCTACTCACTGCCCACTTTTCCTTTCTCCATTATTTACAGAACCTTGGCTTTATTCTGTTGGAAATACTTACCTTTCCAAATCCCTGCTGTCCAGTGATGATAATGGGACTCAATTCTAGCCAATAAGTTGTACTGGTTACACCTTATTGGCAGAGCTCAACTGGGTACAACTTATGGAAAGCTGCTATTATCTTCCAGCAGAATTGACAGAATCAACAGACACAAGTTTTTTTTTTTTTTTTTTTACCATTACCATATCTCCTTCCTCCTGCCTGGAATGCAGCCGTGATGCCTGGATGTGGAGCAGCTATACAGTGAGAATGAGGACAAGAGCCACAAGTGAAGAATGGTGCATGAGGAAGCTAGCAAGGATCAGGAACTTTGAAAAGCTCTCAAGCAGCTCTGAGCAATTGGCTGACCATATCTGGACTTCTTATAATGTCAGAAACATCATGCTATTACATTCTTTATGTATTCTATTCTTCTCGGGACACTCTTTAGATTAGACTTCCTGTGTATATCTCTCTTGTTCTTTTGGTTACGTGACTCTGTTATTTCACAGATTTAAGAGCAACAATGGGGACATTTTCTAATGAATACAATAAGATGGAAAGAAAGAATTGATGTGCGGAAATGTCATAGTGAGACAGTGGTAGGACTGAGAAGAAAAACAAAGTCCTAAAAGTCAGCTATGCTAGAAACTTGGACACACCATTAACTTTAAAAGTGATGTACATAAATATATTGCAAGAAGAAAAAATGGAATAGGATTTCCCAAATTAGAGCAAATTTACATTTTCCTTAATGTTACCATGTGAGACAGCTCTGCTGTCACTATTGTCAACAGGAAAGAGTGGGTTTTTTTCTTGATAATTTCTTCCCTCCATAACCCCGTCCTAGTCATAGTGAAAAGGAAGAATAAAAAATAGAAAACAAAATGCACCTTGATTCAAAATTCTCAGAAACGACATGAGAACTTCACACATGGCATTTGTTGTGTGTCTAAAGTGGCTGTGTCAAGTTTCCATTGAGTAATTAAATAATTTTACATCTAGAAACCTGCTCCTAATTTGTTTATTGAATATTACAAATCTTAATAGAGTGCTATTACCTATATCTTTAGAAGGAAAATACGTATTTTTTAAAACTGATATTTTGGACCCAGAGGGTTCTTGGCTCAAGTTCCTTCAAGGAATGCTTGCGCTGTGCACCTTCATATGTTATTGGTTAACATGCTCTAATTTTGTTTTTAAAAAACTGATCTTATTGGTGACCCAAAGGCCTTTTCTTGTTTTTCTAGTAACATAAGGGGAAGGTGAGTAGAAAACGTATGTGAGAGAGGGGATAAATTGCAGGCCTGCACTTCCATCAAACAGACCACTCTCTAGGACTTCCTTTGTCTTGTCTCATCATCTTTCAGAACCTGAGGTTTTTAACTTTCAGGACCTGGGACAAATATTTTTAACTTTAGTTAGTTAGTGATTCAGTGGGGGATTTTTGTTACCTTATTTTAATTTTTTAACCCTCATAAACAAGCTAAAGTCATAATTGTATATGGAGAGTTTAGGGAGAGAGTCCCTTAATAAAGAAAAGAAATTATAAACATGAATAAACAAAGACATTTACAAATTTAATTCATTTTAGGATATATTTACCAACTAGGCCAAAAAAAGTTTGTGTTAAAAAAATGAGTCCAAATATTTATGGTAGGTTTCCCTTAAATTATTTTAATCATTCTTGTTATGGGTTGTATATATGTGTGTGTGGAAACAATTATCATGTTAACACATGATTCATAGCATATATGTTTGCAAATACCCTCAATACTAATATGTTATTTCTTCCGTATGAGGTTTAACATTCCAGGCTAAGTGTTTAAAAATATATAAAAGAAGTAATAGGGAAAACATATGTTCACACACCTTGCTTTGCATGACAATTCATTAAAGAAGAAGAAATATAACCAAATAACGTCAATCTGGCTGGTGTTAAATATTATTTGCTGTGTAACAATCAACCACAGGAGAAAAATATTTGAATATTTAGACCGGCAGTTTTAATCCTGCAAGATAGATGTGTTGTTAGAAAAACACCTGTTGCTAATGTTTCCAATTAATGTCACTTTACAGTAGATCTTTATGAGTCCAAACATAACACCTTTCTCTTGCCTTATGCTTATTTAATACCACAAAACCAAAGATAGGCAATGTTAACCTTGATTTACAAGTTCTTCTCTAACGCTTGAAATGGACATTTTCTGATTCTTTTCTTTCCTTTTTTTCTATCACTTCCCTTTCTTTCTCTTCTCTTCCTCTCTCTACTTTCTCTTTCTTACCTCCCTCCTCCTTTCATCTCCTTCCTTCCCTTTCTCAGTTTCTCTCTCCTCTTCCTTTTCTTTTTTTTAATTATTTTAAATAAATCAGCCAGGTCAACTTAAAATTTCTCAATGCCGACTTTGAAGATAAAATAATGCAGTGTCACTTATTACCTCATAAAAAGTAAACCACATTTCAATTTTTGTATCAAAGAGAGGCTGTATTTTGCTGTTATACACATATATTATGTATATATACATATATGTATATACATATATGTATATATATATGTCTAGACATATATACATATATATATATAAAATTGGCCACATAGAAGAATAGTTTAATGAAAATAGAATTTTACAATTTAAATTGCATATTGATTTTTTTAACTTGATTTTGTTGTTATTCCTTTGCACTCAGAATCTTAGGAGGAAACAAATATGCTGGATAAAAATTCCAAGATATTTTTAATCTATATACTGAAATGTATTACCAGATAATTGAAAAAAATTCTATAAACACAAAGAAAAAAAAACCTGGAAATAGATTGAATACAATATTAAGCAAAGGTTTTTAGTGCTTTCAGGGTTCAGCCTCCAAGGCCAATAGTGTACTGGCAATAGGAAGGGGAGAAGTCATTAGCAAGTAAATTGTGACTGAAGTTTGTCTTCGGTTGTGGTCTGTTTGATTATTACAAGCCACTCAATTTCATTTGTTTTGCTCAGGCTCTAGCAAGGATTTAATCACAGTTATTGTCTAAATTGGAACCTAAACTTCTCTTCCTCAACAAATTATTTTTTCCTTTTTAACTCATCTATATTTGTTACATTTTCAAGCAGAATGTAACTCAGGTATTACGTTTCCATTCACAAGCCTTGTTCTGCTACGTTTTGAACGGTTTTACCACACACCTAGGTAGCTTCTAATCTTGGTAGTCTAACCAATGCTTTTCTTTGGAAAACAAGCCCATACATCTCCAGATCAGTTCCAAAGAGCAAAACTGCAAGAGGAGAATGGCATTACCTGGCCAAATGCAGCGGTTTCAGGCCCAGAAGGAATATTCTGGCAGAAAGTGATTGAGTAAAATATTGAGGAAAAACAAAAACCAACTTGGATGATAGCTACAGTAAGAAATAAGAAATTCAAAGGAGTGAGATGAGACATTACCTCATGGGTACAATGTACACCATTCAAGCGATGCACGCGCTAAAGCCCGAACTTCATATCACTACACAACATATTCATGTAACAAAACTGCACTTGTACCCCCTAAATCTATAAAAATAAAAAGAAGTTAAAGAATCACATGGGATAATTTTAAAAAAAGAAAAGAAAGAAAGAAATCTAAATAGTTTCAGTATTATTTGAAATCCAAGGCCCACTTCATATGTGCCACTCATTGACAAATTCAAAATATCTCAATACTTACATACAAACAAATTATTTGCTCTGCTTAACAGAAGGTGAACTTAAAGCAATTTACAGAAGCAAACAAAATATAACTTCTTTGATTTAGAAACTTGACTAGACTACCCATGAGGACAAACAGAGATTTCATGATATTCCCTTATTTTCTAGTTCTAACCATTCAAAAACCCCTTCAGATAGCACGGGCTTGTTGTAGTTTGTCAAACAGTAAATGCTGCTAGCTACAAAGTGAAGGGGAAAAGAAGTAGATGTGCTTTTCTACTACTTTCACACCAGGAAAAAATGTAACCTGTTTTAGTTATGATTAAATATGTGGTAGTGACTTTTATAAAAAAAGGAATCACTGCTTCGTAATATAAGAAATATAAGCATATATATTTCAGTCTCTTTCTGTGTTCATATGGGTCCTATTTATTGAGAAATCATAATCCAAATGTGTTCTTTAGAAGTAGCAACACCTTAATGAATTATTGAGAACCAAAAGGCAGTGCATGTAGTCCATGCTTATCACACAGTCATTGTGTCAGAAGGGATCTGAACGATGTTCTAGTCCAATCCCCCCCTTCTTAAGCTTAAATGTTATGTCATCTGGTTTGAAAAGCTACTGCAATGAAAAACTCAACATAATAGTTATTCTAATTTCAGAAAGTTATTTAGCTATTTTTAAATTCTTTAAAAGTAAGTTCATTTAAAAATACTAAATCTTTCTTCCTATGGGTCCAAATATTTGGTTTAATTCTGCCCACTGAAGCCATGTAAGACAAGTCTCTCACAATTAAGTTAACCGGTGACTTGTTAACGTATCTCTCTTTTTCGCTCTGTCTGGATTTTCCTTTCTCTCTTTCACATCACATCTCTCTCTCTCTCTCTCTCTCTCTCTCTCACACACACACACACACACACACACACACACACACACACAGCATTCTACTTTGTGAATATCTATGAACCTTTTTATTAGCTTCAACTTAATTGCCAGAAGTCTTTGCTCCCTTCCTCTAGATTAAGTTAGATGTTTCTTCTTTATGTTCCTGTAAGATCCTACTTTTCCTCTGTCATAACACTCAAGCTTATTAAATATAATTGACCATTTAATCATGTCTTCCTGACTAGATGGTAACATCTACAAGAGAGAAAACCCTGTATGTGTTGCTCCAAAATCAGTTGCTATCATCTAGCACAATGCTCTGCACCAAGTAAGAAACCAACCAATATTAGTTAAAAATGAATGGAGGCAGAGTGTGGGGTAAAGGGAGTGGCTGGGTAAAAGACGGTGGGATTGGGTAACAAAGAGTCTTACATGCCATTTTATTGCATTTGAATGTCATTCTTTAGTTAATGGGGAAAAATGGAGGGTGTTTGAGGAAGGGTCTAATGTTACAGAGTGGGACTGCTAAGAAACAGAAGGGCCGCCCTGGCTCCCCTGTTGGTCCCCTCCTCAACCCTAAGCCAAAAAACTTTATTTGTAAATATTCATACCGAAAAGTTATAAATCATAATTGCACGTGTCAGAGAATTTTTGCCATTGGGTGAACACACCCATTTCACCTACCATGTAGATCAAGAAATAGAACATTACTAGCCCTCAGAAATTCTCCTTCTACCCATCCTAGTCAGTACCAGCCCCACCTTCCCCAAAGTAACCACTATCCTGAAATCTAATACCAGCAAGTACTTTTGCCCGATGTAAGTTTTATAATTTTATATCCTGCATTGAAGTCTTATGATCCATTCTGAGATAATTTTTGTATAGTATGTGAAGTTTAAGTAGTATTTTTTCCGTTTTTTTTTTTTCATTCATTCATGTGGCTGGTTTTGGCCTATGGATATTCATTTGTTCTCACATCTTCTTCAAGAGCAAAATTCCTTCTTTGAATCTTTGTCAAAGTCTGTTGAGTATCATGTGTGGCTCTCTTCCTGGCTCCTCTATTTGGTTTTGTGGATCTATGTGTTTTTTCTCCAACAGTACAACATTGCCTTGATTACTGTTGCTACATAGACTTAATATTGGTGGAACAACTTTTTCTGCTTTATTCTTTTTTGTCAAGATTGTTTTAACTATCCTTAGGGCCTGTGCCTTTTCAGATAGATTTTAGAATAAGCCTGTTTATGTCTACCAAAGCCTTGTTGGGATTTTGACTACAATTGCCCTAAATCTATAGGTCAATTTGGAGAGAACTGACTGCTTGACTATGTTGAGTCTTCTTTTTTTTTGAGACGGAGTCTTGCTCTGTTGCCCAGGCTGGAGTGGAGTGGTGAGATCTTGGCTCACTACTACTTCCACCTCCTGGGTTCAAGCAATTCTCCTGTCTCAGCCTTCCTAGTAGCTGGGATTACAGGTGCGTGCCACCACACCTGGCTAATTTTTGTAATTTTAGCAGAAACAAGGTTTCACCATGTTGGCTAGGCTGGTCTTGAACTCCTTACCTCAGATGATCCACCTGCCTTGGCCTCCCAAAGTCCTGGGATTACAGGTGTGAGCCACCGTGCCTGGCCTATGTTGAGTCTTCTAATCCATGAACACAATAAGTGTCTCCTTTATTTAGGTCTTCTTTTATGTATTTCACGAGCATTTTGTAATTTTCAATATATAGGTCCTGTGCACGTTTTGTTAGACATATACCCATATGTTTTCCTTTGGTGCAATTTTATATAATGTTGCATTTTTATTTTGGTCTCTGCATGATTATTATTAGTATATGTGTAAATGCTATTGAGTTTTGTGTGGGGAACTTGTATCTTACAACCTTGCTGAACTCACTTAATTCTGAGGTTTCTGCATGTTTTTCTTAAGGTTTTCTATGTTGAGATTATCATATCATCTGATACAGATAGCTTTATTTCTTCTTTTCCACTCTGTATGCCTTTTCTTTCTTTATCTTGCCTATTACAGTGAAGAGAACTTCCAGTATTATGTTGAATAAAAAATGTGATCGTGATCATCCTTGCCTTTTCCTGATGTCAGGGCAAAGGCATTCAGCTTTTCACAATTAAGTGTGATGTTGGTGGGTGCAGTGGCTCACACCTGTAATCCCAGCATTTGGGAGTCCACGTTGGGAAGGTCACTTTTGTGCAGAAGTTCAAGAATAGCCTGGCCAACATGGCAAAACCCCATCTCTACTATAAATACAAAAAAATTAGCTGGGCCTGGTGGTGCACGACTGTAGTCCCAGCTACTCGGGAGGCTGAGGTAGGAGGATCACTTGAACCCAGGAGGTCGAGGTTGCAGTAGACCGAAATCACAGCTGTGCAGCCTGGGCGGCAGCATGAGACCCTGTCTCAAAAAGGAAAAAAAAAAGTGTGATGTTAACTGTGTAGGATTTTTTTCTGTATATGTTCTTTATCAAGTTGAGTAAATTATCCTCGATTCCTAACTTGTGGAAGGTTTTTGTCATGACTGGATGTTTGATTTTGTCAAATGATTTCTCCACTGTCACTTGATATAATAATAATATTTTTCTTCTTTAGCTTGTTGATAAAATAGATTACACTGGTATATTAGCAAGAATTTCTAGGAAATAATGATCATCAAAGTGAAAATACAAATTTTGTGAGTTGTTAGTTTTATTTAAAATGAGACACCCATTAATGATTAGAAAAATAAAAGAACATCAAAGAAGATGAGAGGAGATCGGTAGTGACAATAATGATATCAGCAATATCAACCATATCTACCTCAATAATAACCATGAATTGAGCACACATTACATCCTAGAAACTGTACTAATTGCTTTCTATATATATATATATATATTTTTTTTTTTTTTTTGAGACAAAGTTTCACTATTTGCCACCAAGGCTGAAGTGCAATGATGCAATCTCAGCTCATCGCAACCTCCACCTCCTTGGTTCAAGCGATTCTCCTTCTTCAGCCTCCTGGGTAGCTGGGATTACAGGTACCTGCCACCTTGCCCAGCTAATTTTAGTAGAGAAGGGGTTTCTCCATGTTGGCCAGGCTGGTCTCGAACTCCTGACCTCAGGTGATCCACCCACCTTAGCCTCCCAAAGTGCTGGGATTACAGGCGTGAGCCACTGAGCCTGGCCTGTTTTCTATATCTTAATCCTCAGCATACACTATGTGCAATAAGTATATTTAATCTAATGTAAATAAAACTTAATATTCATAATGAAGCAGGTTTAATTGTTGCATTTTAATGGTGAGAATACTAAGGCTCAGCAAAGTTCATCAGTTTGCCCAAAATCTCTTAGTTACAACATGTTAGAGCAAGGATGGTGAATCTGAACCTTTAGTCAATAAGTCAGAAAGCGAATCAGTGTTAGAGAAGAATGTGAATATGGAGCACCAACCAGGCAATCAATCTGGAAGTCCTATACTGGATAGGTTGTGCCAAATTTATTGAGGTTTAGGGGAATATGTTATAGTTTTGTTGACATATTGCAGTTTGGCCTAGGCCTTGCTACAGCAAGTATATCTGACATATTTTGAGGTAGCCACATGAATTGCATACCTCACTCACTGGTGTGAAGGGACCTCCTTCAATAAAGTCAGAGTTGGTCAAGACTGGCTCCAGAACATGGCAAGAGAAGGCAGAAATTGTCTTGTAGAAATAACAGTTAGTAGCACAGAGTGATTTAAATTTAAACCTTAATTCTATTTGTCTTAGATAATACTGGTCTGTGAGATATAAATATAACAATACTAGTAGTTAATTTTAAAATTATTTAAATAACCAGCTTTAAGGTTGTTGGTTTATGGAAAATAGAAGCTGAGCCAATGTTCTGAAGGCAGGAAAGAAAGCTGGATTTCAGGAATTTCTTCCTTTTCATCTTGATTCATGAAGTCAAGACTCGTAGATAGTTATTGTTCATATCAAGAAAAGAGAAAACACTGGAAGTGAGGTAAGAAAAGAACGAAAAAGTGCATTCAGAACAATTTTGCCCAAGACTATGCATTTCCATCTTGAAATTCTATTAGGACTCCACAATTGTACAAATGTCACAGTTCTTTTTATTTTATAAAATAGAAAATGATTACAGTTTTGTGTAATGTATTGTACAGGTTTAATAGGATTGCACTCTTGCCAAGTACTGTAGTAACAAATAAATGCAATAGAAAATTGCTGACACAATAGGAAACTGCTAGTTCAACATAAATGGTTTCTGTAAATAAATCTAGTGTAATTTCCCTATACATCTTGACTCCTGCTTTCAACTCTGCTCACAGGAGAGCAGTTGCACAGTGCTTGCAAAAGCCCATACTTTTGCCCGTTGTGTGCATTTGTGGCACAGCAGTTCAGACTGGTGGCTACAATTATGGCAAAACTCACCAAAGGAACCTGAGACATAGTGCTGACTCTGGATTTAGGTGTCTTCCCGAAAAGCCTATTGCCAAAAAGACACAGGTGCACCACACCTGAAAATGTGAAAATAGCCCCAGAAAGGGCCAATGGGTCGTGAGTCCACTTCCCATCCCAGTTGTGGTATGACTGAGCAGTTTTCAAGTTAGCAGCCCTTTTCTGTATTAGCCATACTCACGTGTTCAAACAGCTAAGTGTTAGATTACTCTGGAAGTTATAAAGCATAAAAAAGCAAGGAAGGGTGGTATTTAACAAAAGTGATGAAAAATAAATAACAATATTTTAAAGATATTTTTCCAGTCTTACCATGCAATTATTGATACCAACTGGACTAAGGAAACATTATTTGGACAACAGAAAATATAAAATATGCATTCATTTTTATTGAAATGTACATATTTTGGGCAGCTATACTGCACATCTTGGCAGCTTTGCAAAAATCTCTCTCAGGAAGTGAAGTTGAGAAGAAATTCAAGAGTTGAGAAGAAATTCTGTCAGGCAAAAAGCACCATGACATGGAAATCAAGCAGAAAACTAAAAATAATACCAAAGATTCATTCATCGAATCTTAGTCATTAAGCACATTTACTGAGTGGTCATTATGTGTTTGCTGTTGTACTGGTTGCTGGCATACAAAAGTGAATGCATCTAGTTCCTAATTTGATTAAAGAGCGGGGCTTAACAGAAGCGGTGGGAAGTCATTAATAAATAATTACAGTGCAATGGATTCAGTGTGGTCACACAAGTACATGAAATAGATGGTGGGAACATGTGAGCTGGGCTACTTAAATCTGCTGGAAAGTGAAGATGGGGCAAGGAGGATACTCCTGGAAGAGAAAATCACATAACAGAAGACAAAAGGCAAGAGAGAGTGTACTGAAGGAACCAAAAGACCTGGGATGCCAGATTGTTATTTTATCTTGAAGGCATAGAAAGAATGTGCTGCTACAGAAGAGAGAACTGGCTGGAGAAGATGAAAAAGGAGGCAGGGGATGGTCTGGAGCCTGTCATAGTAATCCAGGCAGACCGTGTTGAGGGGTTGAAAAAAGAAAATGGCAGTGAGCATGAAGAGATGAAACCAAGAGGAAGACAAAATACACAGACTTTCTTATCCTCATGAAGGAGGTAAGGAAGAGGCGTAACTCTATGCCCATCCCCATCAGGTTCTGGCTTTAGTGATTGGCTGAATGTGGGTGATGTTCACTGAGACAGAGGCTATTGGGCAAGTGACATGAGGGCAGAAATTGATGAGGTCCATTGTGGATGAGGTGCCTTCAAGGGTCACTGAAGTGGAGATTTCTGGAAGGCTCAGGTCACACTTGAAATTCCGTGAATAATACTTGGAGGGAAAGGTGGCTTCAGAAGACTTTCTGGAGCATCACCAGAGGTTGAAATGCTTTTTTAAGGTTGTCTACTTCCACTGGGTAAGCCCTGTTCTAATCCCGTATTTCCATCCTCCCCATAGCCTGTCCTCTGGAACTTTCTAGGTCATCAGAGAAATAGATTTTTTTAAAAAAGCTTTTCCCTGAAGGAGCTCCTTCTTCAAAGAAATTACTTAAAAGTTCAAGAAGTGAGAAAGTATACATGAAGCCACAGTGGTAGAAACAAGGAAGAGATGCATGAGCCCAGAGATGTTTGACTTTGACCTTTTGGACCACCTCAGTTGTGTGACACATATGTCATCTAGGGTTCTTCATAACACCATGTGAAAACCATTATCCTGTCTACTAAATTTGCCACAAATCAAACTGGTCAAGTAATGACTATTGTTAATACTTAGGATCTATAGAGAGGTATTCTCCAAGACTTTAGAAACAGAGGAAATGAGAAATGTAAAATTCTTTTCGGAGAAGTAGGTAATTTCAAAATCACCAGCCTAACAACTCCTGGTAAATGGGTAGGTGAAACTGTTTCCTTTTAGGTAGATCTGGCCTTTGATATTAGCCCTATCGATTCATTAAAACTATGACAAGAATAATACTAATAGGGCGGGCACGGTGGCTTACACCTGTAATTCCAGCACCTTGGGAGGCTGAGGTGGGCTGATCACTTGAGGCCAGGAGTTCGAGACCAGCCTGGCCAACATAGGAAAACCCCATCTCTACTAAAAATATAAAAGTTAGCCAGGTGTGGTGGCATGTGCCTGTAGTCCCAGCTACTCAATTTGGGAGGCTGAGGCACAAGAATCGCTTAAACCAGGAGGCAGATGTTGCAGTGAGCCAAGATTGCACCACTGTACTCCAGCCTGGGTGACAGAGCAAGACGCTGTCTCAAAAACAAATAAACAAAAAAGGGTAACAGAGGAAAAACAGAGAGCAGACATATAACCACATTAGTGGGTATTCCTTACTGTGCTAATTGACTCCCAGTGTTCCTGTCCCATTATTGAGTATTCAAGGCCCTAGAAATAGACAATCACTTATATTACTGAGGAGTAGCTGAGGAGTTTTTTGAACTTCTTATCCATGCTTTGTCTTTAAATCCATCAAATAAATTTTCTGACTTTGATTTGCCTTTCCAGGAGCAAGGTCACGGGGCTGTGATTGCTTATGTATATCTTCCCTTTGTCTGCATAAATTTTAGATGCATATTAGTTGGTTAGAATATTTCACTTAATGTCTACTTTTTTGATTTTACAAAAAAAAACCAGAATGCATTGCTGAAAAATGACATCTTATTGAGATTTTATTTTCAAGTTTCTGTAATGTTAAGATTTTGTCACTGAGTTATATCTAGATGTGGGTGTTGATATCTCTGTTCATTTGTTCATTTATTCAACAAACACTTATTGAATACTGCTATGCCAATTGTAGGGATTATTGATATTAAGATATAGCTTTTGTGTTCAAGGAGTTCTCAGCCTGTGATCAAGACAAATATGTAAACAATTCATGCAAAAACATATAAATTTGTTTCCTGAGAGACTATGTAAACACCACGGGGAAACCTGATGTGTTTGAGAGATTTCAATGAAATCTTCAAAGAGTAGCACACATTTGCTATCAGACTCCAAGGCTAGGGGATCTGTGCTGCATTAGTCTGTTTTCACACTGCTATAAAGATACTACCTGAGACTGGGTAATTTATGAAGAAAAGAGGTTTAACTGACTCACAGTTCTGCATGGCCAGGGGAGACCTCAGGAAACTTACAATCATGGGTAAGGTGCGAAGGGGAAGCAAGGCATGTCTTACCTGGAGGCAGGAGAGAGAGCAAAGGAGGAAGTGCCCCTTTTAAAACCATCTGATCTCATGAGAACTCACTCACTATCACAAGAACAGCATGGGGGAAACCACCCTCCCAATCCAATCGCCTCCCACAAGGTCCCTACCTTAATACATGGGGATTGTAATCCAGATTATAATTCAAGATGAGATTTGTATGGGGACACAGAGCCAAACCATATCATATGGGAAGAATAAAAGAGGGTATTCAAGAAAGAGAAAACATTTGTGCACATAATATACTGCTGCAAGTGAAAATAATTCTGCAGACTCTGAGCGCTTGTGGAGTTATGGTAGCCTGTCTATGGCAGTGCAAGATTGGTGCCTATCCACTCCAAGGGCTCCAGACACATAAGATAGCCCTCCACAGAGTTGTGCAGGGCTCACCTGCACCTCTGTACATGAGAGTCTTATTCTGAGAAGAGGATTTCAGAAAAAAATTTAGGAGCCTGACTTAATATCTACAACACTATTACCTTCCCACACTCCTCTGAACTCTCTGACTGCACTTACTAATCTTTAGGTAGACTCCACTTCCTTCTCTATTACTGTATTGTTGATAGTCTTCAGTGTCTTCTCCTTGGTTCACTGCTGTTTTACTCTCTTCCTTCTCCTAGGATAATCCCTTCTACTCCTTGGTTGTAACTATTACCAGCAGACATGCCAGCCCTATGGCCAATACTCTTAATATACCAGAGTTGTGTATTCATGATGCTAACCAAGTGAACATAACTAATTAGTTACAAATAATCCCTAACATTTAATAAATATGACAAAGTATCATGTACTGTGCAACAATATCATATATAGACTATTTAATTCTCCTGACAATCTTATTAGAATATTATTCATTCTATTATAGAGTTGAGAAAAATTTAACTAAGAAATTACGTAAATTGTCCTAGGTCACACAGCTAGAAAGTGACTAGGTCAGGATGCAAATCTACAACAGGTGGACATCAAATGTGGGTTGTTATAAAAGTGAGTTTGGCTTCCCAGACTCTTTTGCTTCCTCTCTCACTATGTGATGGCTTTGCACACACCTGTACCTCCTTATACTTTTCACTATGAGTTACAGCAGCATGACAACCTCACCGGATGGACTGCCCAGTCTTAGACTTCCCAGCCTCCAAAAAAGAGCCAAATAAATTTCTGGTCTTTATAAATTACCCAGTCTCAGGTACTCTGTTGTAGCAACACAAAACGGACTAAGACATCTAGCATCCTCCAAAACTCACATCTCACTATTTTTTTGTCTATTTGTTGCATGTGTATGGGTGTGTTCTTGTGCATCTGTGTGATTATAAATTCATATATTTAACATATGATTTGTCTCTACTTATTGCTGTTATCATTCCTATTGGTAGTTAATTTGTCCAAATTTTGTCCAAAATTTCTTACACAATAGGCTCCCACATCCTTTTCATAATCTCTGATAACTTCCTTTTATCTAGTAAAATAATGTGTCCCAAGCTCCTCAACTTGTACATTTCTTGCCTCAGACTTGCAATCAGTCATTTCTCCAAGAAGCCCATGTGAAATGAGCACTGGGGATGTGAAGTTTACTGCTTCTCTTCTGGCCCGAAAGTTCTTTTCAGTGAACACCTTATAATTGCGACTTCAAATTTGAATTTGAAAGTGTGTGTTTGCAAATATACCCACATATTTCCACTTAGAACTCCGAATTATAACTATAAGAGTTACTTATGAGAGAACACAATTATGTTTTCATGCAGATCCCTCCACTTAGAATTGAGAACCATAGCATGTTTATCTAACCTCTTCTATCTTATAACTGTAGCTCTTTATTTCCTCACCATATTGATTCTTAATATGGTAGAGATGATAGAATCATGTTACTACATAAAACACTATCAAAATAAGATACCAGCACTACAACCAACAATGATTACTGAAAACAGTTAAACATTTTTGCGATTCTTTCTGTATAATTTGTAGTTTTATTATCTGTATAATATAGCTCTTAGTTACTATAATCAATCTCTCATAAATCTCACTTACTTTCAATTTTGTAGGTAAATGTATATTTAATGTTTACAAACTTTTTTTATGTTGATGTCTCTATAGTCATATTGGTTGTCTGAAGCTTGTTTTCTAATTTATTTCTAAGGAATCTGTTCATTTTTTCCTCTACTTTGGTCTTGAGCTCTCCCCTTAAAGTGACTGTAAACTCTGGCCCTGCCCTCATGGGACTCCAGGGATTTGATCATCGGTGTTTACAGTGTGTCTTGTGTCTTTCTTGGGGTATTTCTTTATCTTCCTGGATGACTCAATGCCTAAGTGTCCTATGTGTGACCAGGTGTCCCTCTCACAAGAAAATTGATGACACTGGCAGATGTCTTTGTGCTCTTGTCTGACCTGTGTCCAGTTTATTTCTACCAAGATAGCCACTCAGTAGGAGAGCCCTGAGCAGGAGGAGAGTTAGGCACAAGTGTGTCAGTCAGACGAGAAACAGGAGAGGGAGCATGGCAAAACACACGAAGTAATAGAAGCAATTCTACTACTTACAGGTCACAGAGCCAAGAGGTGTCACACCTCGTAGGGCCAACAACAGGAAGGGGAAGCTGCCATGTGAGACATGCACACTCAGCCAGTGGGAGGAAAGGGAAAGAGAAAGAGAGAGCGAGGGATCTGTGGGCCAAAGGCTGTATTAGGATCTAAGGCATTCCCCAAGCAGGTTTCCCATGGGGAGTTCTAATTGGTGGGTTCATCGCAAGCATGCATGTGGAGTTGCACAGTGACTCAGAGGTGGTCTGTGTGGTACATCTGCATAGTCCATGTAGGGGGTGGAGGTCAGCAGGCAGGTGAAGTGGGTTGTATCTAGCTCTCCCATAGACAGGTGGTCACCAGGAGGTGGTTGTATAAGGCAGTTATCTGGATTAACCACATTGAAGAACTGGGAGGAGGCAGAGAACTGGAAACTGTCAAGGGTGACTGAGGCCCGCATCTGGTAAGACAAAGTCTAACTTCTATTTAAAATGAATATCAGAGGAACACGAAATTATAAGAATTTACTACAGAAAGGCTATAGGAACAATTTGTTTGAGTTCTTTCATGTGACATCAATTTATCTATGGTCTTTATGTGGAGAAGTCAATTTGCCTGGATATCAAATCCTTCATTCATATTTTCTTTTTTTGGCTAACTTGTAATTAATATTCTATTTTCTTCTGGCATAAACTGATGCTGAAAGTCTGATGACAATCTGGTCTTCTTTGTTTTATAAATTACTAAAACACCAAGAGGTGTTTTGATTTTATTTTTCTTTGATGACCAGTGGTTTTTACCGGTACGATACTTTTACTGAATGTGTCAGTTTTGTTAATTCTGGGTTTATTTTTCCAGGTATGCTGTATGCCTCTTTAATCTGTAGTTTGGAATCTTTTTCCTTTCTGAAAAGTTTCCAGAATTGTGATCTTATAGTTGTTCTGCTTCCTAGCTTCGGTTTTCTTTTTCTAGGGACTTTCATTATATGTATGTTGAATTCTTGATTGACTGGTCTTTATATGTGTCATTTTTTCTCCAATCTTTTTAATCATTCTCATTCTTTTTGCTTTAAAATCTTTTTTCTCTTTTCTTTTATATAATTTTAAGTCATTATCTCTTGAATTTGTTTACCATTACATGTGTTCTTGTTTATGTTCATTTCTGAAAAAACATTTTCGTTTAATTCTTTTTGGAATTTTAGCACCTCATTTCTGAGTTTTTTTCTAGTTCTAATTTGTGCTACTGCTTAATAACTTGAATCATTTTCTTAATACTTTTTAGTTTTTAGTTTGGGTTTTTTGTTGTTTTTGTTTCTTGTTAGAAATATTTGAAGATAGCTTTTCTCTTTTTGTGGGCATGCCTTTCTAGAAGACTGTTGCCTGCAGAAGTGCTATCCTGATATTTAATCTCTTTTTTTTTTAAAGATGACATTGCATGGGATTGATATTAATTGTTTTATATTGCTAATTTTTACAAAAATTTATTTTCCTTCATTTTTAGGAGGTAAATTTGATTTAGAATAGCTTTACTAACTTCTTGGGTTGTTTTGGTTTTGTTTGTTTGTTTGTTTTTGAGATGGAGTCTCACTCTGTCACCCAGGCTGGAGTGCAGTTGCATAATCTTGGCTCACTATAACCTCTGCCTCCTGGGTTGAAGTGATTCTCCTGCCTCAGCCTCCCAAGTAGCTGGGACTACAGGCGAGTGCCACCACGCCCGGCTAATTTTTTTGTATTTTTAGTAGAGATGGGGTTTCACGATGTTGGCCAGGCTGGTCTCAAACTTCTGACTTCAGGTGATCCATCCATCTCAGCCTCCCAAAGTGCCAGGATTACAGGCATGAGCCACCGTGCCCAGCCAAGAATAGCTTTACTAACTTCTAAGGAACTTCCAGGATAGCTCTTGAACTCTCTTCTGTGGTCCTTGTGAAATGTTTAAAGATATGATACTTTGCTTTCTGAAATCTCCTTAGTCCCTTTTCCTTCTCTACTCATTCACACATATGCACTGCATCGTTTTACTGGAATATTATTTTTCCTTTATTCCTATTGTCCTTGTCTTGCTACATTTCAATTTTATTTCCAGCAATTTCTTCTCAATGTGGGATTCTTTTCCAGGGAGGGAGGTTTGGCTGGTTCGCTGTGAGAAGTTGCCAGGGCCTTGTTGGCCCAGTCTGCTCAAGACATTTCAGATCCTTTGAATTCACCCACCACTGGAGCGTGTACTCCTCCCCACGCCAGCAGCTGTTCTCAGACTGGGTCACAGACAGTTTTCATAAGCATCTATTGGTTATTTTTGAATTCTTAGGTTGTAAAGATATTGTATTTTCTCCCTCAGCATCTCCTGCACAGATACTGAAAACATAGATTTTACAGCTCTTTATAGTTTCATTGGCACCCATTTGTATTTTGGAGTTTGTGGGAAATATAAATCACAAAATTAAAAGTGGCTGAGATAGCAATTGATGGAACTCAGTTGTATCAGAAAACCATTAATAGTGCCTCCCCATAAGACCACATTGGACCTAAAGCCTCCTCCAAATTCGTGAGGTCAATTTTAAATTACATATTTTATTTTGATTTTAAAATCAAAAATTTATTTTCAGATCACATTGGGACCAAATTTACAATAGATTCCTCAGCAATTATTTTTAAATTATTATACATCCTGCATTTCGTAGTTTCACCAAATGAGAGAAAGTTGATTCTTTTTTCAGGATTTTCTCCCTAAAACTCTACAAAAGTCACGACCATTCACTGCTGTGTATGTCAATGTATGTTTCGACTGCATTTACTGAATCATTAATTATTAAACTCTCAACATAAATAATTGCTTTTTACATGATAACTTTAGGTCAGATTCCCCACCCCCTTTTTTTTTCAAGAATGGCACTGTTTCCCTAATTTATAGCTTGCTAATTCTGGGGTAGGAAGGTTGCAATGTAATTTATACCAGCCATATCCCATCTTAAAAATGCGTTATTTTGGTCTTATTTCAAAAAGTTTAGGAGTACCGGAAATTTCTGATAAAACTCAACTATACCATACTCTTGTTTATGAACACCTGAGAAGGATTATTAAATTGGATTTGAATTTGAGTCCCTTTCAACTATGCATGTATATGAGTATTTGCATTATTATATTGAAACCATGGGATACACGAATCTTGCTATTACAGGCATCTAATGAGGGTGAAGGGATGACAACTATGCAGAAATCATACCCCACTCACTCCTCTCTGCTGTGTCCACAGCACTTTAGTGCTATTTAATGTTTTCCCACTGAATCTGGATATAACCTCAGACTCTTTCTTAACACCATGCTCCAGGCAGGTAGCACAAATCAGTTAGCCCAGGAATTCCAATCTATTTTGAGACAGAAAAGAATATCATCTCAGAGGCATATTCTTAAGCTGGCTGTAGCTGGTGGGTGAGGCGTGCCCTGTGGAAGCCTTTTTCAGCAGCAGGCCTTGGTGCCCTGGCACCTGCAGGCTTGTTAAGCAGCCGGGCCTGATATCTTCACCCATTACTCTGAGAAAGCACTTGAATGACAGGCACCGAGCCAGTGTTTACCCTGTGGGGCTCGTGACACACACAGTGTCTGTCAACACTTCCTATCACTCTCCTGCTTATGCAGACTTTTTTTTTTTTGCCTGATGTATTCATCACCAGACTGCAGACACCTAGTTAATCCATTTAGAACCTATCACCTCTGTTCATCGGCTCATAAACCTATTACATTGGAGGCGCAGTTCTGAGGGACACAGGTGCCAGACCAGTGCACAAAACCCAATTGAGTTATGTAGCAGGCAGTGAGGGGCCTCTAATCACCATGCTGACTGCATGGGGAATTGCCCGTGTTATGTGGTAGCAGCCACTTTATTAAATATCGATTTAAATCACGGCCTTTAATCAAATCGGATAGAAGACCTTTTTCACCTTCGCCCCTCTTCGGCTCCTCCTCGCCCTCCTCCTTTTCCAATCAGCCTGCCTGGTGACATCCGAGCTGAGGGATGAATAGTCAGCAAGGAGTTCACCAGCAAACCCTTTTCAACAGTAATGAGGCATTTGTGATAATCGAGTGATGAAATGTAAATGGGCAGTAATGAGCACAATTACATCCACTAGGGAACCATCAACGTGGCTTCTTTCCTCACAGATAGATAAGCTCTTTCCCTGTCATTGCCTACTGCTGACTTCACTGGGAGGCAGGGTGCCCAGCGAGCGCAGGGTGGGGGCGCGCCCTGGGATGGGTGGGGAGGCTGAGAACTGGCGGAGAGCAGGGCCGTGGCAGCGGGCGGGGCGGAGAGAACCCCCACCCGCACTACAAGGCCTTGAGCACCCGGGCCTTGCGGTTCCTCTGCCGGCTCCCATCCTTCTCCGCCTCTCCTCCTCCTTCCCTCCGAGGACGCTGGGGCTCCATTTGCCGCGCGGCTGGAAAGTCGCCTGCGTGCGCTAATGAGCTCAAGGTGAGCCGCGGCCTGTTGGTTACATTGAAAAACTGTGCGGAGTGACCGGGGCCGGCTGCGTGTGAGCAGAGACTGAAGCCAAGAAATGGGAGCCTTGCCAGGAAGCACGAGTGCCACCGCTGCTTGTGTCATCTTTGTAGTCAGGCGACCAACAGCGGAGAAAGACGCCGGCATTTCCAGGAAAGCGGGCAGCCCCGCGCATCTGCCACCGGCCTACCCAGACTCTGGCTTGGCCTGGCGCGATGTGTTGACAGGCCGGGGATGGTCTACCCACTGCAGACCAAATCTCAGAGGATGGGAAATGTTTTGTGGTTTTAAAAATTCTAAAATAACTTCGGAACAACATAGGGTGCCCTTGACATAAGAAATATGCTAAGAAGGTGTTTTACGAACGCAGTAAATGAATTACTGGTTCACCACTGTGATTTTATTGTGCATATATAGTCGTATTACAAATGATACATATATTCCTTATGAATAATTTTCTAAAGTGAATTGTGTTGATGTATAGATGTAACGGATCAGTTAGCAAAGTGAAAATTGATTTTAATAATTTTTCATCAATTAAAAGTCCACCATGATCATTTTGTATTCAAAAAAGTTAAAATTTTTAAAATATTTCTTTTGTGTGTGGTAGAAACTACCTATCTCTTTTATTTTGTTCTTTGAACTTTTCATCATTAAATGGAAAGCCAGAGTTGTCAAATTATAATAAAATATTAGGCCAAATTCTGTCCACAGAACAGTCTACAAAATTTACATGACTATTGGTCAATATGAGAAATGCATGTATGGTTTAATAATGTTTTTTGGCCCCAAGACAATTTGACATGTGGAGGCATTTTTTTTCCTTCAATTTCTCAAGTGTTTACTTTCAGCACTACTTTTTCTTGGAATATTCATTTCAAAGAGTACTGTGTTTATGGAACGCTCAGGTCCATGCGTGTTTTCTTCTTCATATCCTTGAACATATGTGGAAAGTTCAATAAAATGACTCACTCAGTAAACTGATGAATTGGCTGTTGGCGAACTGGTCATTTGGTTTATCACATATTCAGTAAATAGCCTTTTGGCAAGCCGACTTTTGTTCAACTGGCTTTCAAAACTTTGAATGCACTTAGAAAGCTATAGTGATTGTTAAAAAATGCCAATCCAACCAAATTAAAACAAAATCAATCTCATCTACTAATTTACTATAAAACGGTAATATCTCATCAAATCATGACCCTGGGCTACTGCAAGAACCTTACTCTTCTGACTAAGATGTATATCAGAAACTTACTGAGGCCGTAAATATGCAAGCAATGAAAATTTGAGAGTTTAGCATGGCATAAAACATCTTCTCCATGCCCGGCCTTGCCTGTTCCTGCAACCTTGCTTCTTTCAACTCTTCAACTTGTAGTCTGTCCTCTGGGTAACTGAAATGTAGTAGTTCCCTACAAACATTGTGCAATTTCACACCTCCATGCCTTTGTTTATGCCAGTCTTTCTATCCTGAGGACTCTACCCTTGCGTTCTTTTTTGCCTTCTTATTCTTCATCAATGGGCAACCTGCGCATCCCTTCCTCCTTGAGAAGCCTTGCCGAGTTCCCAAGACTACATTATTTTTTGTTTGTTTTTTCAGCATCAATTGCTTTATTTGTTTCTTAGTTCTGTATAGCATATTTTATTCATAGTAAAATCCTTGGGGTTAAACAGCCAAAGATCAATTTTTAGGTTTATATCTCTCCCATGTAGTTTATTGCCTCAAGCATAGTAGTTTCTCAGTAAATGTTTAGTAACTAGAAATGGAAAAGTTTTAATTCACCTCTCTGACTTAATAAGTTCTCAGAGTTGAACCTAATTGCATTTTAGCTTTGTCTTTTTATTTCTTACCTTTTATCTCTTACTCCTTAAAAAGCAGAGTCAGAAAATAACCATTAAATCAAACGTTCTATGAGGTTGTGTGTTCATGAAACCTTAAAAAAATTATCTCTTCCTTTCTGGTAGAATAAAACTCAATCTTCTCAGTATGATTGTTTTACTGAGAATCTGACAGGAACAAAGGTATAGATCTATCACTTAAAGAATGCTTTATTTGTGGTTGTTTTTTTCTTTCAAAAACAGTTTGCATGAAATGACAACATAAGAATAGCTGACCTAGTTAAGAGAACAAGCTGCTTAAACAATATGGAACCATGTATTTGAATTTAAAATTGCACAACAATAAATCCTTTTAGATATATTAATTGAAATAGATAACCCATTTAGAAAAAAAAGAAGATGACTACTTGGTAACAGATTTTTGTCTGGTTAAAAATCTCATAATAGATGTTTCTCTAATTCAGACTGCCTTTGCTTACAATTCATTATGATCCAGTGGGCTGGAAGGTACCAGTGTTAAGCTATTTCTTTTGTTCATTTTTTGGTGACTTTTCCTCCAAGCTAACTCTTTAGTATTATTTCACTAGTGCTTAGCAGCTCTTCCATAAGAAGAAATTGGAAATATAATCCAGTAAATTGCATTAATTTGGGGATGGGAGCAAGACACACATTTTAAGAAAAAGTTGGCAGAATGAGATGAAAATTTAAAAATTATAATTTTCAGTTAGTCACTCCTTTATTTTGAGCTTGCTGCATTATATGGAATTCTGAAATATGCCTAATTTTAAATGCACATATATCATTTTATCATTGTATTCATTTATTATTTTGTAAAAATCTGTTAACAGTAAGCCTAAAGGCCATACTTAAGCTACCATCCTAAAAAAAATATGAAGAAGCTCATTTGAGTCTTTTAGAAACAACATCAGTCTATTATATACAGCACATATCAACAATACATTTCACTTTCAAACTATCGCATAACCCATCCTGCAGTTATTCATGGATGCGTTTAGAGGAGGTTATTTTCCCCCTGACAAAAATGGGCCATTTTTCCCTGTTTAGCAAAATCTGGAACACAGATCATTATAGTGCTTTTGGCAGCTAATTTGAACATCAGTGACTCAACTTTGAGAAGAGCCTTTTTTCTGCCCTAAAGAATCTCTGAGTTTTCAGACTCCAGTAATTGAAAAATCCCCAAACACTCACTCACAGAGGAGATACACATTACTGCAGGAACAGTCTACAAATTGTAAAGTATTCAATTTACATCCCTAGCACCTCAGGGCAGTTCTGAAGAATTTATATCTTTGGGAACCTTTGAACTAACAAAAGATAACATTTCACAGTAAAGTCTACTTGCATAAAAGTTTTTAACTCCCTTCTTTCCTTTTGCAAAGAAACTACTTCTTTCACTTGCAATTCTAACTAGGAAAAGTTTATATTCACTAAGACGCAACCATAAAAAAGGTCGGACAGAAAATAAAAGAAAGAAAGAAAAAAACTCACAAGATGATGCCTGAATTTATGTTAATCACTCCCAAGCCCCCATGGCATGGTTATTACAACTCTTAGTTTTAAAATAACAAAGCACAAAATGATTTTATTTTTGTGATTGTACTTCAAATTTGAAGAAAAACATGATAAAGGGGTGGATTTTTATTGGATCCTTATTGCTTTTATTGGAACATTAAAATTTGGAGCATCCATGCAGGCAACCCCTTGTCAAAAGGTTCTGATTAACAAATAAAAATTCTTCTCCTTGTTAATTACCACATATACTTCCACAGCCAATGAACCTTAAATGATTCATTTAATTTAAAAAATATGGCTCTATAGTATTTGGTTTTCCTTATTTCCCAGCTTTTGTAAGTGAAGCAGTAAGAAATCTGCAACGGATTAAATTGGACCTATATTTTCTAGGTAGGGAATGGTTTTTCTCCGCCCCTCCCTCTGGCTTTTTTTTTTTCTTTCTTCCTTCCTTTTTTTTTTTTTTTTTTTTTGAGATAGAGTTTCGCTCTTGTTGCCCAGGCTGGAGTGCGATGGCACGATCTCGGCTCACTGCAACCTCCGCCCCCTGGGTTCAAGCGATTCTCCTGCCTCAGCCTACTGAGTAGCTGGGATTAGAGGCACGTGACACCACACCTGGCTAATTTTTGTATTTTTAGTAGAGATGGGGTTTCGCCATGTTGGTCAGGCTGGTCTCAAACTCCTGACCTCAGGTGATCTGCCCACCTCGGCCTCCCAAAGTGCTGGGATTACAGGCGTGAGCCACTGCGCCTGGCCTCCTCTGGCTTTTTGATCAGAGATGATTTCTGGCAGAGTAATTACTAATCTTCTGACATCTGTGGCTCAGCCCAGTTTTAGCATTTGGATTGAAAATACAAAAAGCAAAGGAAAAACCCTCTATGAGACGCTCTCTAAATTTTTTAATGAGCGTATTCATTATCAATACTATAAGTATTGTAAAAATAAGGAAATGTAACGATAAGGAAACAGTTTAAATGCAATAGTCTGATAAGCTTTTTTTTTTTTTTTTAGGTTAAAACTTGATCAATGTTTCTGTTAACTAATAATCTAGGAATCAACAATCTCATAAAACTGGTTTATTCAGCCCAGAAAATTAGGCAATCCATCATGACTGATTTGCTCACATTTCCGTCTGCAAATAAGTGAGATGGAAACTTTAAAACCAATAAGATAATGCACTTTACAAATTCAACTGAGAGAGATGGATAAACTAAGATGCCACTGGCATCAGTTACAAAAAAAAAAATCTGTCGTGTTTCCAATTATTTGAGCAGATTTTTGTATCCCAATTTGCTGCCAGCCTGGCTGCATCTAGCCCCCTCCTCCTGTTTTCTCAAACCAAATCATCAGGTCTTAAATCAGAACGAGCTCATCATATCATCCTATGAAAGGCCATCAGGGGATAAAGGACACCAGATGTTATATGAGTTTTCTTTTAGGCTTTCATTTCAGCCTTCCTGCATTCCCCATGCTGCTTTTTACTTGTCAGAAACTAAAATGTGCTTTGATAGATAACAACCCTATTTTCTTCACTGGCTGAGCTTAGAGAATACCATTAAGTATTGATATCTAGGGTGCTTAACTAGGGAATGCAATCACAGCAGTGCCAAAATTGGGGTTCTGTTGTATTATTGTACATGCCAAGATTTTTGAAAAACTCAAAATTAATTTTGTTTTCCCGAGGAAAAAAATACATAGTTTTAGTTGTGGGAGATGAAAGGAAGGGGAATCAAGGCGAGTCCTTATTAGTATCTCTGCTTCCTCCTGCAGATATTAGCACACATCCCGGAGTCCAAATAACCCTGCCAAGCCGAGCAGAGGTAGATTTTTGAAATGGAATGATGGCCCCAACTGCCAAAGCAAATTATTAAAATGCTCTATACTTTGAGAGCTTAGCATTTGCCTAACTTTGGGTTTGTTAACAAAGGACAAAAAAAAAAAAAAAAAAAAAGAGCTCTTCCATAATCTGTAGAGTCTCAGACATGCTGTCGTCCTGTTTACTGATGATAACAACTCGTTGACACATGGCAAACTACAGCATCTTGATTCACTTATGGGGCGGTTCAAGGTCAGCCACATACTAGTTACAAGAATATAGCCACATTATGTGATTTGATTCAAGAGACTAGCTCACTCTTCTCTGGTTTCCAATGAAATGATTTTTTAAAAGGACTTTCATAGCCATGGCAGTGTATGTGTTGTAAAGGGATTATGCACAAATCCTACTTGTGGCTAGCGTGTGCTCCTCCTGGGAGGTAGATAGATAAAAGTTACAATGAATGAGAATAGGTGTTTACCTACAATGACCTTAGGTCATGTAAGTGGAGGAAAACCTTGAATCGTGTTTTATAGGAAATATCACTGTCCTTAATCAGAGGTGGTTCCTTTCTCTCCTCCAGGGAACATTTGGCAATGTCTGGGATTGTTTTTGATTGCCGCGACTGGGGGACTGATGGGGAGGAGTGGATTCCTGGCATCTAATGAGTAGAAGCTAGGGATGCTGCCAAGCATCCTGCAACGCACAGAACAGCCCCAGCCCAACAATTATTCAGCCTCAAATGCTAGTAGTGGTTGAGAAACCTCGGCATAAAAGATGAAAACAGTAAAATGAGCACTAATGTCAAACGCTGGGAGAATAAGAGAGGGGAGGAGGTGCCAGAAGTGGTCAGCACTGTCCATTCAAAGAAAACTGGGGAGTGAGCGAATGCTAGAGTCCTTTCACGTGGTTCCTGGAGGTGCAACAGGATTCAACCTAAAGAAACTTCCAGGGCTGCCTACCCCACTTACAACCTTCTGCACGCAGTGGCCAGAAATTATTAAAAAGTATCCGGTAATATTAATCCGTATGATAAAAAGGTACCCTGCTGTTCAGATTAAACCTTGCAATGGTCCATGACCCAGAGACTACCAAAATGGTGCATCATGGCTACTAGGTAAATGTTCCTTTAATGAACAAAAGAATAATTGGATTTTAATTGAATGAATAAACAAATGAGCTATTTCTGGATGTCCGCACTTGGAGAGGTTTACTGACTCTTTCTTAGTCACTAAACCCAGCAGGAGTGGCTTAATGACTCATACCTTAGGGATTTTAAGGGAGGGATGCAGACCTCAGAGCTTCTGATATGCACGGAAGCATCCAGCTCACCTGTCTTCTCTTAACCCCATTAAATTAATTCTCCGCGTTGCAGCCGTATCGCTGCCTAAAAATATTCATCATAGCACCCATTCCTACAGGCTACAGTTTAATTATTTAGTATTGTGTTCAATACCATCCTTGATCCCAAATTAACCCCCTCTTCTTTCATGTTTTGCTACCTTCCATCACCTGTTTAATGCTCTGATCATTTCCTGCCCCCATGTGTTTCATCCTTCCATACCTTTCCTCCTATTGTTCTGTTGGCCTTCGATAAAAACCTCCATTTACGCTTCAGGTTAACTCCCACTCCCACTCCAATGAGATAATCATCTCCACTGGGCAGTGTCCATGGAAACCTTTGTTTAGACTAAATATCTTATTTTCCTGTTCTCTTTCAGCGTCTTTAAACGTCATCATGATAGCGTCATCATTAAGTTGATGGTATTACGGTGATTTTCAAACTGTGCTGAGTTGTTCATTTCGTTCAGGCTCCATAGCATGTGACAATGACAGAGAGAAGTAAATGGAATTCTGAGTCTGACCTCTCTTCAAATGTGGAAACTTTGCTTTCATCAGTTTTAGATAGGATTACCCATGTAAGACATGATTTAAAGAAAGTTATCTGCAGCAACATCAATGAAGAGTAACAAAACAACTGAAAATATTATAATATGATTTTTAAATTATCTGCCTGTGGTACTTTTATAAAGTCTGCAATGCCATGCACCAAACATAATGCTTAGAAATAAAACGTAGGTGTTGAACTGAATAGATTTTACCCACCAAAAGCACTGAATTAATGGTAGGTAATGATAATAATAATATTTTTTATTCTAAGTATTCAAAGTCAATGTTTTTATATGTAGCAAATGATCACTAAATAACATGTATATATGTGTGTGTGCATATGTGTGTAAATATAGAAAGTTATATATTGCATATTTAACTTTCTCTAAATGTAGATATAAATGTGTATATATGTACACATATACTGATATGTACACTTATCATCTCCCTACAAAAATACTTCTTTATTCGAAATTGTAAAATGATGCTGAATCTTCAAATCCTGCTCCCCATTTGCATTTCGTTAAGGAATTTCAGGATTTACTTACAAAACCACATTCTGAAAAGTGGTTTGTAAGTGTTGTTGCACGTGAGAATTCAACGTAATTATCTATTGTCATCAGAATAGACATGAAGGATTATGAGAAGTTCTTTTTGTCATGAAGCCCATGCTGATCCCATATCACATGGGGATCAATCTGCAAATCAGTCATCGACAGGGGAGATGAGATTTATTGATTGTACAACCTGAGCAGCTCTAAATATGCAAGTGTCACCATTGGAAATGAAGACAATGGCTTGAAGGCAACCTGGGACCATCATTCACACAATTTGAGTGGATTTTCATAAAGGGAATCTGAGACTGCGGCTGGTTAATACATGGCTAAGTAGGCTATGGCTCAAATTATGAAAAACTGACAAGCAATTTATAAGTTAAATCGTAAATATCCAAAGTCCAGGACCTTGTGTTTTAAGAAACAAAAATGTGTGACTGTCTAAGCAAGAGATACTGGACAAAAATTTCTATGATATCAGAACTCATCATCCTAAAATAGAATTCAGGGAAAAATTAAATGGATTTTTAAAAATCAGTTAACACAATGTATTACTTATTAAATTCTTTCATGGAGCAAATAGAAGACTAATTTCTCTGGAGCCATTCATGCCCCCAAAAGTTATAATTAAAGACACAAATTGAATGATTTTAATAATGATGAACGTTCACCTTTTTAGTGCTTAGGTATGGTAATATGATAGTCACAGAAGGACTCCATCTTCCATTTTCATTTAACTTTCTCTCCTGGGATTTATAAGGGCACTTTTTCTCATTTATTTATTTATGGACATTAAAATATCAGGAGCTGAGTGGCTGCTTTTTAAAGATTGAATTAGTCTCAACTACTCAAAAAAGCATAGCAGGGTTTTGAGACCACGGAAGGCTTTCTGAATTTCCCAGTGTGCACATCTAGGAATATTTACCTCTTCATATCTTTCCAGTTATACAGGGTCCTGCCAAGAACAAGGATTTGCACGTATATTGGCGCACTGCCTCTGTTGTTTTCCTTTTCGCAGAATACAATTAGTGATCAGTGATGCCTTTATAGAAAGCACTCATAACAGAAAAGTGAAATCAAAAATGTTCTTGAAAGATGGAGGCAAAAAAAATGCAGTATTAAAACTTGCTGGAGAATAAGCAACCTCTGCAAGCTGGTTGGTCAGAATATTTGTATTTTCGTATCATTTAGGAAAATCCTATTATGGCTTTAGCTACAGAAACATCCCTGGTGTGCAAGATAGAGGCAGTTCATAAAACACGCAGCATTTTCAGCCGGAAAATAGGGCAACCTATTGCTTTCTGTAGATGGCTGTTACACCCCAGTTCCCATCAATAGAACATAATCTCATTGCAGCAGGCAATACTTGATATCAACGAAACACCAGTTTTCTAGGTACATGCGACTATTCTTACCTAAAAGACAAAAAGATTCTATTTCTGCAATGACCAGTATCTTCAGAACATAGTTAATAAAACAAGGTAGTCAAACAAAGAGGTACAGTAGTTAAACACAGGTACGCAGAGAATTCTACCACCCTTCCACCCTTTTTCTTTGCTCTTCAATCTCTCTCTGTCTCTTTCCTGCATAAACTGTCAATTCTCCAAATGCTACTACAAAATGATTTCAGTCAGTGTCAGTGTCAGCTGACTCAATAATTGATAGCCCGATCATTAGATGCTAAATCAGATGACTGTTTCCAAAATGCCTTCTCACTACTAGAGTAGGGGGAAATCTATGTGCATTTGCCTCTTGATCAGGATAATTTCCCCAAAGAATGGGCTAGATGCCAAGTTGCAAAGGCCTGTTTGCATCTAGGACTGGGTAGGCCACACACCCAATTTAGCCAATCTTTAGCCATGCAAAATAAAATAAGTTTTGCTGTGCTGATGTCACAATGATTAAAATATAATAAGCTAATGAGATTACAATAGCTGATTGTGAACAAGACCAATTGTGTTAATTGGAAGCTCCTGAATGGCAATTTTAGCTGCTGCTGAGTTTTGAAATATAATCAGTTTTACTAATTTTATCTGATTTCTTAATGAAGCTTGCCCTGAGCAATTGTTCTATGTGTTCTTTAGCAAACAGTGTGTGTCATAACTGCTGACATTCATCTTGATTACTTTAGTTAAAATAAATAGTTATACTTGGGCGGCTTTCAGAGAATACATCATAGTAGATGTAATGCTGGAAAGCAATGGGCTCTTGGTTTTTTTCTTTGTTTGGCTACATTTTATTTGCTTCATTCCAACCATGAAGATTTTCTTTGGTGTTACCAGATCTTTCCCAGAGTCTTGGTGTATGAATCAAGCAGAGATACTATTTGTTGTTTTGTAATATTCCTCCATCAATAAGTGGAGTAAATTCCTTCATCAATTTACAGGAATAAAGATAAGATTGGCACTGAGGAGAAGGTAACAGACTTTTGTGTTGGCAACACACAGATTATACCATCAAAACCATCCACCAACATTAATGGCTGAGGCTGCAAGAGAGCGAGCACTCAAGTTATTTGTTTTCACAGAGGATTAATATACATTGGATGGCTCCTCCAAGCTTTTTGAGTGTATTGGAAGACTGCCACGCCATACAGCCAGTTATAAAAGACTGAGAATGCTAAGAGAAAATAAAGTTTGGGGAAACCAAAAATGCCATTTGAGTAAGTTAAAAAAAAACATCTTTCATGGTGTTGATTTTTTTACTCACAATCTTTCAACATCTGCAATTAGGATTGTATATTTAGATTATTTAGTGCTTGTGAGCAAAGATTAAATGGATTTTTACAGGAATAAGCTAGGGGATAGGATAAAAGCTTTTGGAATCCTATGGAACATCTAAAACAAGATAATACATATTAAAACATCATGAAAGAGTTTTTTTTAATTAAGTGATTGCACAAGCAAGGGTATTATACCATTCCCCCCAGCCACATGAACAGTTAAAAACATTTTTATTGAGTTGCAACATTGCTTACAGGTAGGCATGTAAATTGCACACATCTTGTGTACTGCTCAATTCATTTTTATGTACGCATATATCCATGAACCACCGAGACTGAGATCAAGAGCTAGAACATTTCTCATACTCCAGATTCACTTGATAATTATTTTATCTTTGTTGGTGTTTCTTTTACCTACGGTTATACAATAAATTAATAAATGTCTCCATTTCTTATGTGGTCCTTGGCTCAGTTTAATATTGAGGCTATTCTAGGCTTGTACCTTAGGGGTTTCTAAGCTCTTCTTTTTCTGCCCTCTGGAACAGTGTGCATAAGTTATGGATTATCTATTTCTTGAAATTCTGATACATACAAAGAGTATTTAAAAACCCACCTGGGCCCATCTATTTTGTTGCTCTGCATTTCCATGATCATTTATATTTATTTACCTATCTTCCTAGAAAATTCTCTGTTGTATCTAACTTTCAAATTACAAGTATGTATTTATTATTCAAAGAATTCTCATACCTATTTCCTTTTTTATAAAGCTTTCTGTTTTGATATAATTTCAAACTTGCAGAAAACTTGCAAGAATAAGAAAAGGAACTCTCATGTACTCTTCACCATTCACTATTACCATTCACGATTTATTTACACTTTGCCTTACCACTTGCTTTACTGTTCTCTCTCATACTGTCTCCCTGGATAAAAACATAGATAGGTAGATAGATAGATAAAACATATTTCTCAACTATTTGAAAGCAAGTTAAAGATATCATGTCCCTTTACCCCTAAATACTTCAGTCTGCATATGCTAAGAACAAAGAATATTTTCTCACATAACCACAGTACAGTTATCATTATCAGGAAATTTAACAATAATAAAATACCATTATCTAATGTACCATTCATATTTAGGTTTTATCAATCATCTCAATAATGTCCTTTATAGCTACATTTTTTTTACTAGTTCAAGATCAAGGCCACGATTATGCATTTAGTTTAGCAATATCTCTTTAATCAACTTTAATCTGAAATACTTCCTCTGTCTTTGTTTTTTTTATTTTGTAGAATGCTACTCAGATTAGGTTTGTCTGATGTTTTGTCATAATTGAATTCAGATTATGCATTTTTAGTAGAAATACATCAAACATGTTTTCTTTTTATCTCATTTTATTAGAAAGTGCATGCTGTCAGTTAATCCAAATATTAGTGATGTAATATTTGGAGACTGAATTAATGTGGGATCAACTTAGGTCTTTATATTGTAAAGTTAATATTCCCTGTTATTAATAAGTAAGTTACTGAGAGATACTGTGAGCCTATGTAAACATCTTGTTCCTTAACAAATTTGCACCATGAGTTTTACTTTTTATTGATGATTTTCTAACCTCATGTTTGCATATTTATGTCAGTGTTCTACTTGAGGAAAGAGATGTTCTCCTTTTCTCTATTGATGTATTTATTGATTTATATTCATATAAATTCTTATATAATGAGTTATAATCCGCTTCTCTGATAATTATTTTGATGTTCAAATTATCTCAGATTTGACTGGGACAGCTGAGGCTTGCCATCCTCTGAATGTGTCCCCCAAAATTCATGTGTTGAAACTTAACCCCTGATGCAACAATGTTGAAAGGTGGGGCCTTTGGGGAAATGTTTAGGCCAGTGGTCCCAAAACTTTTTGGCACCAGGGACCAGTCTGACTGGTTTTGTGGAAGACAATTTTTCCACAGATGGCCAAGAAGAGAGGGGGGAGGGGAGAGGGGGGATTGTTTCTAGATGAAAGTATCCCACCTCAGATCATCATGCCTTAGATTCTCATAAGGAGCACATAGAGTTCATGCTCCTATGAGAATCTAATGCTGCCCCAATCTTACAGGAGGCAGAGCTCAGGCAGTAATGCTCACTTGCTCACCACTCACCTCCTGCTGTGTGGCCCGGTTCCTAACAAGCCACACACTGGTACTAGTTTGCACTCCATGGGTTAGGGACCCCTGGTTTAGGCCAGAAGGGCCCCACCCTTATGAATTGATTAACACTATTGTAAAACGGCTTGATGAGGACGTTTGGTCCCTTTTACCTTTCCAGCCCTTCTGCCACGTGAGAACACAGCTTTCCTCTTCTCTGGAGGATGCCATCTTGGAAACAGACCAACTGGTCTCATCACACAAGGAAACCTGCTGGTGTCTGGACCTTGGACTTCTCAGTTCCAGAACTATGAGAAATCAATTTCTTTATAAATGACCCAGGCTGTGGTGTTATGTTATAGTGACACAATGGACTAAGACAGGGCTCTTTCAAGTTGGCAACACTGTCCTTTTAATATGCTCATTAACATGATTTTTTAGCATTTCCTTACTTTCTGGAGAAACAATAAGTTACCACTTTCTCTTACATTCATTCTTCCTAACACCTCCTCTTTTTTTAAAAAAAATAGAAACGTTTGAAGCATTCATGTACAGTTGTTACCAATGAGGAGAGGAATGATTATGTACTGTGATTTTTGTAATAGGAAAGGTGTTAATCTCTAAATTATATCTCCTCTCATGAATGAAAATTTTAGCCTCAGAAACTATAATTTCTAAATGACCACAATCCCCAAAATCACAGGAACCATGTCTGTTATATTTATCCACACATACCTCTGACTAGCACAACAAAGAAATATGTATTGAATGAATGAATGGGAAGCAATAGAAGAAGAAAAAGTGAGAAACAGCTGACCCGATTATTGCCCCTAATTGTTCCTCTATTATTAGTAAAGGCCTTGTGACTCAATGTTAGAAACGTGTTCCTTTACTTCAGCGATCCTATTTATTAATATATTTTCTTTCTTGGATCCTGTGTTTTGAAAGGTTTGTCCAGCAAAGTAACTGCATTGTGCAATGATCTTAAGACGTTTATCACAAGTCTATGACTACAAACGGATTTCCTTACAATGTCAATCATCCAAATGTCAGTACCACTGCGTACTGAAAGAATTAAGAATCTGCCAGAATTTCCTTTTAAAATAATATTAGAAAGAGACAACAAGAGAGTAATTGGCACCCATGGATGTTGCATGTGAAGTAACTTGTAAATGCATGTAGTTTTTCTCCTTTAATTTAGGGATTTATAAAGATAATTTGAAGTGTGAAATGGTAGAGGTAAGTTTGTCGTTCTTAAACTGTATTATCTCACTTGACACTTGATCAATGTACACTTTTGCCTTGCTTGCAATTGATCTTTCCTCAGCTTGTGTTGCTAAAATTTCCTCTGCTGGAATTCATGGTTCATGGTGGCCCTCAGAATTTACGAGGGAGTTTTTAAAAAATCGAGGAGTATAGAAAAATAATTCTGCATTCTTTCTGAAATACTCCATTTTTTCTTTCTACACCTCCTCCCACCCATAGGTATACATTGAGTACACCATGCACTCCTCACCAGCCCACTCCGCTGCCCCCTAGTGTTCTTTGGGCAGAATGTGAATGGGTTAAGAGCAACCAGCCAGTCGTTTCCCTCTTTACTTATTTGCATGTTTTAAGATCATTGACTCTATATTTCAGTCGTTCCAAAAGTATAGCTACACAGTGAAATGATCTGAATTATGTTCTCCTCTAAAGCATATATCAAATTACAAAATATAATATTGAAGCTGAAGTTATTTTCCTTCCCATAGAATAAGAGAATGAGTTTAATGGGAATTCACAAATTTCCTTAGCATTTCTCAAGTACAAATGACACAGAATTGTAGCTGTGATTTCAGATGGTGGGAGAAGAGTGTTAGTAGCTCCTTACAATTGGAGAGTGTCATGTTTCATATGCCAATATGCATTTTAAAATTGAACTATCTATTTAGAAGTTGTTACAATTATGGAACAGGTAGTTTTTCTGTTCTTCACCAGAAAAATACAATTAAAAACTACTGAAGCCATGACTGATTATTAATTTAAGTAAAATTATGACCCAGGGATGATGCATTGTTCAGCTGCATTTTAGGAAATCTCTTCACATATTTTGATAATGATACCTGAGTATGAACCATCTTATTTATACTGCAAAGTGTTTCTAATTTGAGAACTACAATAAAATAATATAAAGTGTTTTTTCTGCATTTAGATATAAAGTTTGTATTACTCATTGATTGCAATAAGGAGGTTGCTGAATCTACCTGTTGATGTTCTTCATATTGAAAGTAATTCATTTATGAGTTTAATCTCCTGAGATATGCTGTATTTGTGTTTGTGCATATACAAACATTCATAACATGTGGAGAATATATATGAACTTATTTGTATTTATATATAAATGCATATGTACAGAAATCAAAATTTTTTTCAATGAGGGTAGTAAGGTACTGTCAATTGGATATTAACAACATATTTAGAAAAAAAGTCTAAATATGGCTCAAGGATGAGTTAAGTTGGTATGCTAGAGCAAGCTAAGAAAAAAAAAAAACGCAGCTCACTGCTACATTATTGCTATAGTCAGTGTCAGCCATGGAGATAGAGATAAAGAAAATGCTCTAAAAGAGAACGCCTCACACCGTGCACCTTGATTTCTCTCTTGTATGGAAGAGAAGCTAACCTCTTGTAAATTTATATATGGACTCGTTAGACATTGCAAATGATTTGACTGATTGGTCAGGAACCTGGAAGTATCAATATTGGACAATTTAGGATAAGGAGGTCTGGGCTAGAGGGATGTGGATAAACCTACAGGTATAGGTACAGGTGAAAAGTGTGATGACTTTTATATTGCACGTTCACGTTCACCAGTGGACGGTCACCATGTAAAAAACACTAAACCATTAGTAGGCAGAATGGTTCAGCCAGTGGATATCAGTCATCCCCTGTCACTGGCTAACCCAGTGCTGATCCTTTGGGTGCATGCACAGAGTAACCATGATTGCAGAAATGGAAGCTATGCACAAATTCAACAGCATTATCCCCCATTCATCAAAGTTGACCTTGTTATTGCTGCTTTTGAATGTCCAAACTTCTTACTGAACCCCCAATATGGCACCACACCTCTAGGAGATCAATTAGCAACTTGGTTGTGAGTTGATTAACTTGACCCTTTCCACCCTGAAAGGAGCAGCAATTTATCTTGACTGAAACTGACACATATTCCAGATATGACTTTGCTTCTTGCCTGCAGAGATTCAGCCAGCCCCACTATCTTAGGCCTTACAGACGTGGATCCTGTGTAACATGGCACCAGACCAAGGGGGACACTTCATCAAAGCAGATGTAGTAGTGGACATAAAATCATGGTATCTACTTTTTCTATCACATGAACCCCCGGGAAGCTGCCAGCATAATCGAAGTGATGGAATGGCTTTTAAAGTAATCTTGAGGCAGAACTTAGGGATGACACCCAGAAAGGATGAGGTGGCATCCTTCAGATGCAGTATGCTCCCCAAATCAACAACCACGATATGACATTGTGTCCTAATTTGTTAAAATACAAAGTCCAGGGCCGGGCATGGTGGCTCACGCCCATAATCGTAGCACTTTAGGAGGCCGAGGCGGGCAGATCATGAGGTCAGGAGATCGAGACCATCCTGGCTAACATGGTGAAACCCCGTCTCTACTAAAAATACAAAAAATTAGCCGGGCATGGTGGCGGGTGCCTGTAGTCCCAGCTACTTGGGAGGCCTCAGGCAAGAGAATGGCGTGAACCAGGGAGGCGGAGCTTGCAGTGAGCCAAGATTGCGCCACTGCACTCCAGCCTGGGTGAAAGAGCAAGACTCCGTCCCCCACCACCAAAAAAAAAAATACAAAGTCTGAAAATCAAGTAAAGAAGTAGAGGTGGCTTTGCTTACCTTCACTTGCCATATAAGGTGGCAGATGGGTCAAAATCAAATAAGGAAGTAGGAGTGGCTTTGCTACCCACCTACCCATTGACCCACTTAGGCAATTTGTGCTTCCCTTCCCCACAAACTTGGACTCTGTGAGGTTAAAGGCCTTGGTTCCCAGAGAGGAAATGCTTTTACTAGGGGAAACAGCAAGAGTCCCATAAACTTTAAACTATGATTGTCACCCATTCATTTCAACCAAGAATGGTTGGAACATCAGCCGGGAGGGAAAAGAGTCTCCATCCCAGCAGAGGTGATTGACTCTTATCATCAAAAATAAGTAGGTTTGCAAGAAGTAGTTTCACAATAGTGACAAGTACGAGTATGTTGGCTTTCCCCCCCATAATCCACTGGCTTGACTCTTGATACTCCCTTGCTCAATTTTGACAGAAAATGGGCACATTCAGCAGCCTCAGCCTAAGAGCATGGTGACCACTGGCTGTGACCCCCCAAGGATGAGGGTCTGAATAACCCTAGCGGGTGAGTTCCTGACTTTATACATGAGTACTGGTGCTCTCCAGAGGTGGGAGGAATCTAAAACAAGTAGTACAGTTGGGAAATGATGAGGACCAATTGTAATCTGTAGACCAGATGCAGAACTTTACAGTAACCATGTGAGTTTCCTCAGGAAAAGGACCAGCTGGAATTCTGGAAGAGCTATTGCCACATAGAGGATCTTCTCATGTCAAGCAAGTGATAGTCTGCATAGGAAGCTTACTTAACAGAAAGGTCCTTTTCTCTGCCATTCTGTATTCTGAACAGGCATGTTGTGGGCTGAATGGTGGCTTCCTAAAAGATATGTCCATGTCCTGTCCTCCAGAACTGTGAATATTGCTGTCATGATAAATTTTGTGTCAACTTGGAAGGCGTTTTCGGATGAGATTTATATTTAAATCAATGGACTTAGTGTAAAGCAGGGTGCGCTCCGTAATATGTGTGGACTTAATCCAAATAGATGGAGGTATGACTAGAACAGAAGACTCATCTCTCCCAAGCAAGAGAGAATTCTCTAGCAGCCTGCTTTCAGGCTTTATCTGCAACATTGGCTCTCCGTGGTCCTACAGCGGGCTGCCTTCAGACAGAAACTAGATTTTTGGCTCTCCTATGTCACCAGTCTGCTGGCCTGCCTTGCAGATTTTGGACGTACCAGCTCCATTATTATATAGGTCAATTCCTTTTAACAAATATCTTTCCATATAATAAATCCCTTTCTATATATAACACATCCTATTGTTTTTTTTCCTCTGGAGAACCTGACCAATACAATTACATTACATGGTAAAAGAATGAATATCACCTTATATGGTAAATGCTGTGATTAAGTCAAGAATTTTAAGCAGAAGAGTTTATTCTGGATTATCCGGGTGGGCTCTAAGTTCAATGGCAGGTATCCTAATAAGAGTGAGACAGAGGGAGATGTGACAGACAGAAAAGGAGGATGCAAGATGACCACAGAGGCTAAGATTAGAGTGATATATCCACAGGTCAAGGAATGCTGACAGCCACCAGAAACTGGAAGACACAACAGAACTGTGAGAGAAGAAATTTCTGTTGTATCAAGCCCCCCTAAACTAAGGATTAGCAGAAATGTGGCTCATGTCTAAAAATGTAAATCATATGTATTCTAAGGGATCTTTAATGATGAAATGCAGCACCTCTCTAGCAGAGACTGCAACATGCACTGGGTTCCTGGTTTGGGATAAACTCTAATGGCAGTAGTCACATTGCTGCTGAATGCACCATGCCCCTGTGAAACACAGGTTCACTCTCCTAGACTTCTTTCTCCACTACGATGATGCAATGAGTTCTCTTTCAAGGCTTCCACTGTCTACTTGAAAGTGGACTCAAGTCCATTCCAAACTTTTAGGTCTCCTAAATGTAATAGATGGGAACTAGTTCTTTCTCTCATGTATCAAATTGATGTAATTGAAGCTACCTTGCCTGGAACCATTTGCCAGAAATATTACAGTGAGAGAACTTGACCAACTGAGACAACTTGGTACTAACCTTAAGGCAGTTTTTACATTGTGGTCTCTGGACCAGAGGCATTAGCATCACGTGACAACTTGTTAGAGATGCAGAGTATCAGGCACCACCCTGGAGCTACTGGGTCAGAAACTCTGGGGTTGGGAGTCCAGCAAGTTGTGTTTTACTAAGCTCTCCAGGTGATTTTCTGATAATATTTTCGGAAGATATTCTGGCTTAGGTGGTTATTGAATAGTTCTCCTAACAAATTCACATTTGCATGACAACTTCTGCAGCTTCTTACAAAGCAAACAATAACAACAGAAAGTGTTTTTTCTTGGGTAGAGATGGTTGCAAGCAGAAACAAGGAGCAAGAAGCACCAGAGATAAATGGTAAATAAGTAACTGCAATTTTCCTGTTTTAAATACCTGTTTTTAGTATAGGGAACTGAACTCCCTGTTTTACAGACTTGGCTAGAATCCATTTCCACATTCTATGTAGATACTGATAAAAGCCTGAGTATCTGTTTCTGTCACACTCCTCTTAAACACTTCTTTCTCTAAACTTTTTAAAATTCAAAATCCAAGAAAAACAATTATGTTTATAATGGTAAAAAATTATATACAAGTGTAGTCATTTGGACTTAGGCAGTTCTGCTTCAGATCTTAGTTCAATGACTCGACCAGCCTACTAAGCTCAGGCAAGCTACTTACTAAGTCCCAGTCCCTGGAAATATTAAAATGAGGTTAATAATATCTACTCGTTGGGTTGCTGTGATTCTGAAATAAAATCATGAATACAAATAATATGACATAAAGTATGGTATATAATAAGCATGCAGTAAATATTAGGTATTATCTATTTTGTACATCAAAATAGCCTTTCTACTTTTCTTTTGGAATGGTCTGCATTTCCTCTTAAAGATGGAAATACCTGCTATTTTCTCCCTTGTTATTGCCAAATGCAGAGAATGTAAATATATGAGATTGCTGGGGAGACTTGGCAGTCTTTTCATATTTACTTGGTCTGTTAGATGCAAATCCAATTTGGGGATATCTCACTAAGAATATGATTTGTTATCTGAGTAAGTCTATGCCAACAGATCAGACCAGCTTAAAGTGCTTCTGTTACAGCCGGATGTATTACAGTTTATTTACTAAATTTACCTTTGCTTTGCTTCTCATTTTTTTTCTCTTTGCTTGTTTGGCTTTGTGGTTGTGACTGTAGTTGTTAATTCTTTTCTCATTATATATGTATCAGTTTGGATCTTTTTGTGAACCTTGGATCTATATGACTCTGTAGTAAGCCCAAGAACTTATTGAATGATTGAAGTTAGAATACAAATATGCTAGAAAAAGACAAATGAACAGTAAAATATCATAAATATAGTCTATGATTAAGATATACAGAAAGAAAAGCAAAGAAGACAATAAATATATGTGGGAAAATACTTGAAAACAGACTGAAAATTAGCTCTTCATTAGTGACACAATCAGGGGAAATGGATTTGTAGTATAACATAGAAGCAGTAGATTTAATTCCCTGGTAAACTAACTTATTGAAATATTTTAGTGAATAAGATTAACTGAAAAAATTGTGCAGAAAGTGGAAGAGTTAAGATTTGAATTCAGTTCAACTTCACATTAAAGCCCCTGACTATATCCAGGGACATCACAGGATAACATTTTATAGGAGAGTTGAGGTATCTTTGTAATTCCGAGACCTTTGAAAAATAAAGTCATCTTTCTGAGGTCTTACCTTTATGTAAAAGATGAATGTAGAGAATTTGGCTTATATTAATTATAATTACAGATGTAGTTATAAGATATGCAAACTTTATTTAAACCATCCTATTAGCACCAAAGCAGTACAGATTGAACACATCCTTGCCAATATCTAAGGCAGTTCCTCGACAATCATTTCTGAGAAAAGGGAGAGCACTCAATATTTCCTGTTCAAGAGCCTTCAATCACTCCCTGTTACCTGTAGAATGAACGCTGAAGTCCAAGTACATTAATACGGTAATCTAGTCCTTTCACAACCTTGCCGTCATCCGTTCCCTCAATAAATACTTCCTAAATTCCTACTGTGTGTCAGACACTAGTCTCATTAGGGAAGCAGCAGCAACTAAAAAAAAAAAAGGCCAAAATCCATGTCTTCCAGGAAGTTACTTTCTAATCATCCTCCTTCCTCCAGAGATTGCCAACTCATAGAGTACAATACTAAATCTATGCTTCTTTGTGTCTATCTACAGCTTCTAATATGGTTCTCCACACAGAGTGGACCTTCAGTAGTTTATTTTTTAATAAATGAATTACATCAATTTTATAAAAGTATGGAATCTTGGAGCTAGAAAGAGTCTCACTGCCCTTGTCCCACATGTCGTTGCACAAGGGCTGTATTATAAAACACCTTTGGGTAATACGGCATAAGATTTCTCTTTTATTGGAGATTCGTAATGCACATTAACATATCAAAGGTCCTTAGGATTTCTACTATTGAGAAATTCCTAGAATTTCATAAATTCATTGTATCTCAGAACTATTTTAAGGGATAATGCTTATTAATGTCCTTACATTCTTTGGCACTTATTTTATTAAATATTGATATAAATGTGTTTTTTATTGAATTCTACGACAAATATTTCCCATTAAGAAGTCAATAGAGTTTTAAATGTAACACCTTGTCAAACTCCTTGGTAAATCTGAAATTTGTGTAACAATGGTAATATGTTATTCAATGACTTTATAAATGAGAGGCGGACTGCATATCATTCCTTTTCTGCTTATATTATGAAGTCTACTTAAGACCATGCAAGGAAGTAGTCATGGGGTCTCAGCCCCAACTTATTTCATTTGTTCTTTGGTTCAACAGTTTGATCAACTTCTGGACTATTCTCCTTTATATAGGAAGAACTCACTCCTCTCTTTATGGAACTGTGTTATGTGGGATTTCATCACCTCCGCAATGTAACCTTCAACTTATGATGGATCAAGTGCTTGTAAAGAAAAGCAGATTTAACATGTCTCAGATTACAAATGCAGAACTATAAATGTAAAACAGCCGAGTATGTAGGAACTTTATGTCATAATTAGGAATGGAGAGCAAAGCCTTTATAAACCTATTCTCAATTATCTACAATTCCTTCAAAGCAGCTATCTGGATCCAGGCTTGGTAAAGCATTTTTCTAGCCAAATGATTGTCAATATACACCTGCACTGTTAAAAGATGGCGTCCCTAAATAGCCCATTTTCTTCTCCCTCTCCATTTGGTACACCAGATGTTTGGGTTTTTTATTTGTTGAAGAGTGCATCGAGTTCCCGTATGTCCTTTTAGAAAAAATCATAGCTTTTAAAAATAAAGCTGTCTTCCTAAATGGCAGTGGGCCACAGATAAAGACCAACATGTGTTGTAACTCAGAATGTCCGTTGCTGTGGTTACATTTTTATGATTTAGCTGTAAAATACTTAATAGATATGGTTCTTGATGATTTTTCTTTTAACTTTAAATGACAGGTGGGTTATTTCTGTTCTCTTAATTTTGTTAAAAAAAAAAGAAAGGGGGGGTGGTGTATGTGTGGAAATTGAAAAACTTGACTTTGGTCAATGAACTGGTCATTGAGAAAGCTGAGATTTGAACACCAAAATCTGTGGTCTCCTACACCTACTTGACCCTGCTTTAAGTGAAATCTCAACTCACTATACAAGTTTCAACTCACTATACTTCCCACTTCCTATCCTCATCCATCTGTTACATCTGCATGTACAATTATGTTAAGCATGCTTATGTCACTCAATGAACTTATTTCCCTTTTGTCAGCTCAAGAATTTCTTGTATGAGATTTTTTTGTTCATGTTTCAACAAGTCCCCTCTTCAAAAATTGCAGTTCCTTCCTCCAGGAGTAACATGGATGTTTAGGAAGTGAAGTTTATTCCATTTCCATATAGTTCCGTGAAGAGGAAAAAATGAGAAAAAACAAACAAATGAATAAATATTTCTAATTATGGAAAGCCTAGATAAGAAACATCTACTTATAAGTCAAGGAATAAAACCTGCACATACCGACAGAGAAATTACGATCTCTAGAATGTAACTATTATGAGTTCATGTATGCCCATGCTAAACACCAAAGCTGAAGTTAACTATTAATAGTTTTGTCATCATGGAGCTGTTGTTACTATTACACATATAAGCAATTCAACTCCCAACTCTTTAGTTACTCTGACTCCAGGACCTCAAATGCTACCCATAGAAAAACAGCCTGGTGAATGGCAGGAGTGACACCATCTTGAAGTGAAACCACCACGATGACCAATGTTTGACTCCTGCATGCAAAGGTGTTCCCATAGCATTGATAACTCCTTCTAAGGATGCTTATCCAATCCCCAGTAGTCATCAGTTTTGCAAGAAGTCTGAGGCATGACCAACTGCTCATATTTTACCAAAATAGCTTGCTATATTAAGGATATTTTCTGGAGGGTTGGTGTGGGGATCCACGGTCTCATGGCTACCTGTGACATCAGTTCTGTTCATAAGTTCCTATTAAATGTCTCTTTTTGAGAAACTGTATTTGCCAGCCTCTTTCTTTGACCTCTCAGCTCCCTTGGCCTTTGGGGTAGGTTTTCCTATACCTGCTCCCTGCAGAACACTACCTTTAAGGGCTCAGTATCACTGCCATTGGTACCAAGTAAATTTAAATCTAACAAGAAGAACATATCTCTATTTCATCTAAACTTCCATGATATTTCATCCTTATCTCACCTAGAGCTTTTATCTATAATTGGAACTATTAACTCATAGCTCTCCTCTTACGCAATTATGCAATTAATTTCCTAGGAACACAGTCCAAATAGCAAAACACATCCTTTGACTCTTCTCAAAAATAGTAACATTGCGCTTTTTATATAGTTGTAGTTTAATAGTTGTTAGAAAACAAGGGTGTCTACTTTTAACATCTTACCATTTTTTTAAATTAATATTTTGATGCACTAGCTAATGCAATTAGAAAAGGGAAAGAAAAATGGGAAGGTAGAGGCAAAATTAATATCATTATTATTATTATTGTTATTATTATTCAGACAATTTTATCTACTTAGAACACCCAAGAGAGGCATCTGAAAAACTTTTAAAAAAATAAATGAACAGAAAATCTAACAAGGTTAATAAAAAGTTTATTTCAAAACTCAATAGTCTTCCTATAAAAAATCAACAGTTAGAAATAAAAAGATTCCATTTATTATGGCCACAAAAATATAAATTACCTTGACATAAATTTAACAAAATATGTGATTTTTATATGAAGAAACTGTAATTTTACTGAAAATTTCAAATTTTAAAAGTGTGAATAAATAAAACAACACAACCATCTCATCTTAGGAAGTAAGACTAGATTATAATACACATGATTCTCCCTAATCTATATTTATAATTAAAAAGTTATTAGAAATAAGAAATGATTATTTTGATGCTACTTTAGCTAGTTTTTTTTTTCTTTTTTTTTTTTTTTTTTTTGAGACAGGGTCTCACTCTGTCACCCAGGCTGGAGTGCAGTGGCATGATTTTGGCTCACCGCAACCTCTGCCTCCTGGGTTCAAGCGATTCTCCTGCCTCAGCCTCCCAAGTAGCTGGGATTACAGGCATGCACCACTACCACCCAGCTAATTTTTGTATTTTTATTAGAGATGGGGTTTCACCATGTTGGCCAGTCTGGTCTCAAACTCCTGACTTCAAATGATCCACCCACACTGGCCTCCCAAAGTGCTGGGATTACAGGTGTGAGCCAATGCGCCCGGCCTAATTTGGCTAATTCTGAGACAAATATTTAAAAAAAAAAATGAACAGAGAAAATCTTCAGGCACATTCTGAGAGAAAAATCTATAATGATGGTCATTGTCAATCTGGTAGAAGAAAATGTATATTTCTTAATGATTTTAATATTTTAATCTTGACATGGTTGAGTGAGGACCTCCTAGAAAGAGATCGTGCCTTTGTTATTTAACTCCAGGGAGTAGGAAAGGATTCTTAACCATTTAGAAAGCTTCCTCTTTTCTTTTCTCCTTTATTTGAATTATAACAGATTGTCTTCAAAGGCATATTCACTATCCTTGACAGTGTACACCACAGAATGGAGTGAGCTCATTCATCTACTGTTGGAGGTATACAGGCTTAGTAGGTGACACAGAGGGATGTAGTGTAGGGTTGCCTAGCTTAGTGGTGATAACAATTCATGTTGTCCTAGCCTTTATAATTCACTAAACATTTTCATTAAAACAACCATTTTTTATTAATAAGGGATGTATTAATTAATTGTTTCTTCTTGCACCCGAATGAACAAATGTTTATTCTCTAACATTCACATTCTTCCACTCCCTAGTCTTCTATCAGTGTGAGTATACATGGTGTGTGTGCATTATATTTTTCTGTAATCATATTCATGCTACTAATTCACTGATTTTTGTCATCACAAATCCTACCATGTACTCTAAACTTTAAAAAAAGATAGATTTTTCCCCCTGCCTTTGAAGTTTTTACTGTGACATTGTTCAGCTATAATTATGTCATGTTACAGTATGCCTATCATCTTGTGCTATATGATACCAATCTGGGACTTGGCTGATTAGTTGAATTATTTCCCTTGTTCAATTAGTTTGAAATTTTCTAATCCAAGATTAGTTAATTAATCTTTTCAGACTTTCATTCTAATCACAACTCTACTCTAGGAATCAAGATGTCATGCAATCATAAGCAGGCCTATAAAACACGCACAATGTGAAATGTATACAGTTAAATCCTCACCCATAAATGGACGTTTAGCAAGTCCAAGTTTTTCAAGGTTGTTTATGAATTTCGACACTCTCAATCAATATAATCAATAGCATTTCAAATCATTAAATTTATTTTGTTACAAAATAGAAGGATGTGCCTTCGTTCCTGGGTTCATTTTTTAAAATTCCTTGTTTACTATTTTTATAATTACTACTGGCTTTTAAAAGAATTGCAGTTCATGATGACTAGAAAAACTATAAACCAGCTGAAAAAAAAGAGCAAGAACTTTGAATTTATTTAGGTAATTCAAACAATGTCATGCATTAATTTGATTCCATTTTAAGTCATCTTTTCATCATAAGAAAATCTGTTCACTACACTTTGTACATTTCTAAGGACAGATTTAAGCTTCATGAACAATTAGCATGTGGTGTTTCTAATTACCTCAAATTTCATTTAGCTATTCATTGAAATGTGTTCTTAAATATTATGTTTTTGCTCATATTTTACTCTCCTACAGTTTACAATGCCTCAATAAAAATTCCCCTGAATTAGGCTGAACACAGAATAGAAACACCTTTCTTCCCATTTCATTATTTATAAAGCTTGCCATTAGTTGCATTAGTTGTGATTGCTTTCTGTGTCCCAGTGTAAAAGTACCAGTACCATTTCACACCATGTGCAGAGTGGGCATCTCACTAATTGCCCCCCTCAAGTTCTGATTCAATGCATAGGGCTTTTCTTTATTTATTTCTCATTTTTTATCACCTTCTATGAGTAAGCATTGTGTGCATTACGTATTTTATTATTACAATTCTCCCAACAATATTATGACTTTAGGAGCATTTATCCCATTTTACTGATGAAGAAACTGAGGCCTAGAGAAGTGCACCTGTTTCCCCGAGGTCACTTAGATGATACACGGTAGGAGCCAGAATCTGAACCCAAGCCTATCTCATGCTAAAAATCCACATTTGTCCTTTCCAGTCCACTAATTGCAAGAATTGCAATCCAATGAATTGCATTTCCAAATGCATGGTATATGAAGAGTTGTCTAGCTTTCAGGATGAAATATTTAGATTTCTTGCAGACCCACAGCTCTCATGAGTACAAAAACAAATCTACCCTGACCCTTCTTACCACTGCAAGAGAAGACCTAGTGGTGGCTCAGCAATAACAAAAACCTTTGTCTCCATGTAACTGCAGTCAGATGAGCTGTGCTCTGACCTCCTCCGTTCATTTAAGATTCTAGGACCTTCTCTGAACAGAGGGGCTGAAGTTTCTTTAAGGTTGCTGTCATTTGGAATTCTAGGTCGTACCATGCTGCATGCTTGTGCAACTTCACAGCTACCTTTTAGCCAGCACCTCTAGCGTACTGTATATTAATAGAATATTGATATAGCAAAAGTACTGTATGGGATTTATCATTTGGTAAATCCTCCACCATCTGCAGTTTTACAGAGCCATTTAATTAGCAATTTTACAACCTCCACTCCTCTCATTAAATTAATTAATAATTAAGTTCAAATATAGGCATCTTTAATGTCATAATTATATTTCAGTTTTATGGTCACTGGAGTTTAGCTCATTAGGGTAGGCACTCATAAACCATAACCCTGCTTAGTGGCTGAAGCAGGTCCATGTCACTGGGCTGATTCCAGTTGATATTTTAATTTCTCTTTCTTTAGTAACAGCTGCCATTTTGTAGAGAGAAATTTCAGTCTTTGTCCTCTGTGAGCATAAAATAACAATCAAAGTAACAACATCAACAAATGCAATACAAAACATGTATCATGTGATTCTCAGAGTCTCATTGACTTTTATGATGTCTCCCTGGAATATTTTTGTAACATTAGCCCTCACTATGTTTTCTGATTGGATAAATTCTCCCACCTTTACACTTGGCATTAAGCACAAAGTAACCATGTCAAAGACTGGTGAATGATGTAGTCTCATTGACTTTATGATTTACTAAGTCAGTAATGGCATTTCACACAATATGGTAAGCTGTACATTACTTCAGATGGAGTGGATTTATTTCAGTCATTATCACTGATTAAACCCGCTTAGTTGAAGAGGCAAAACAAAACTTGCCTTTGAAATTGTTCTTATTTAATTTTGTTCGCCTTCACATAACCCAGGACAGTGCTAATTATTCCTCGATGGAGCTCATATTTCTAATGTAATTCATATGTAAATTCTAATTTAATTCATATGGGAATGTTTGTGTTACTTGTCTCCTCTCAGGCAAGAACACAAACACAGAATTAAAGCTGTTTGGAAATAAAAACTTTATGTTCCCTTTTTTGACCTGGCTTTGATTTGCTTCGCTTTTTTGTTCCTATAACAAAGCTTAATCACTTTTGAAAGTTAAGATTCTAAACTATAGTTTAGGGAATAAAAACTATCTTTACACCTTTAAACAATTTGCAGATATTTTGAAGGTGCAAATTGCATTTTCACATGCTAGCAAAAGTTGTATCATTTAAGCCTTTACTCAGGTTTTCTCTGGTAAAAGATATTGTTCAGAATCTTGAGAACTCTAAAATCACAGTCTTCGTAAACTCTATTAAGGGAAAATATACTAATTTTTCTGCTATTTTGCTGACAACAGGCTGTGATGAAGATGAAGTAAGATGGAACAGATCTCAAATTAAAGATGGTCTTTTAAAAACAGTTGCGGGCTGTTATGAGCAAATACGGTATTGTAACTGACATCTTTGAAGATTCATGATCTAAGCCACATTATGTTTTTTAAAAACGCATCAGGCTAAACCAGTTATGTATGCCAAAAATATTACATTGGTACAAGGTCAAGACCAGGTGGAAAAAACTGTAGGGTGTTCTACCTAAAATCCACAGTAAACTACTAGTGTAGGGTAAGGCAAAGAAAAGAGGCACAGGTAACAGGCACTTCTTAAGAGACTGAGAAACTAAAAGTAGCAAAGGATTGGGAATGATGGTGAGGTTGAGCACAGAGCTGGTGAGAAGTTCACAGTCACTTCGCCTGTCGTCTAGGGCTGCTCCAAAACCAGAGAGACTCACAGAGGACCTTTGCAGTTTGCCAATCTGGCTTTTGTTCTGCTAGATGTGTGTGTGCATGTGTGGGTGTGGGTGTGGGTGTGTTTGTGTGTGTGTGCTTGTCTCACTCTCAGTGATATTGAATTATGCCTTATGCCTGAGAAATATTTCTATCTTGTATTTAACACCAAATTTTCAAACTTAAGGGTAATTCACCAATACCATCAAGGAAAAACAAGTAAATATTTAAGATGAAGAACCCAAGATGAAAAAAAAAGTTAAATCACAATTAGATCTGTTCTCTGCCTTAATCATGTCGCCCTGGACTCCTTTTTAAGGTGAAAAAAAGTTGATTTGTTTTTCTTTGTTATCTCTTATCACTCATCCATTAGATATTGCTTTGTAAAATATAAGCTCAAGGAAGCTGTGATGTCTCAGCTAAGTATGAATTACAAATGTAGAATGGCCATAGACAAATACTATAATGACTTGTTTGCATTTTGGTAACTGATCAGATTTGCACTGCAGTCAGAAAGGACCTTTCCAGTCATACCATCCTTACATGGCTGACTTTGTAATATCTAGGACATAATTACACTGGCATTAAATATGCACACACACATACACACACATCATGCCAACATTAGAGCTGTCCGAAACTATTTTCAATAATTGATTTGCCGTTTAATTGAACAGCATGACTGACTAACATAGCTCATTACTTTACTCATTAGTTAATTATCGAAGAAAGTAGGACAAGTCAATAAAATGGAAGGCTGTAAATTCCAATACTAATTAGCACCATTTCCTTAGAGACATATTTAAGGGCAGACTGGCTACCTGAATGTCCTAGGACCTTGTGGATGAAGGAGAAGGATAGATGCATCATGAATCTAGATTACAGGAAAGGAAGAGGAGTAGGCAGTAAGTAGACATATGGATGTACTTAGCTACTGCTCCCTCCACTGTTTGAACTGAAACACATAACTGGGTAGGAAATAACCATGAGGAGAAAGGAAGATCATTCATTTAGTATCCTTTGAAAACAGCATGCAAAACAAACTTGCCTTACTTCTTTTAAAATCTTGTTTGCCACTGTGGTTTCCCCATCCAGTTTACGGACATTATTACAGTAAATGGCATTTATTTGTAGATTTTTATAAGTGGATTCCATCTTCAGTATAATTCTAGGAGAGGAAGAAGTGCTCTTCCAAGCTAGCAAATGGTTCTTTTGACTTATAAGGAAAAGACAGCATAGCCATTTATGCTTTTTCAATCCACATTAACCTCATATGACCAAGAGTTATAACTATGTATTCATCATCCAATAACCCACACATATTTAGAATTTTATCTAACTTTCTCATTACACAGAAGTGGATTCAAAGCACCCCCACTTTGTGTCAGTGTTAGTTATATGCCTTTGGAAAAATCTTCCATCTATTGTAACTCAATATTTTCTTAGCTGTGTAGTGGGGACAATATCACCTATATTTCACAGCTGTTGAGAAGCTAGAAAAAACTAATGCTTGGTTTGTTCTTGATCAGTGTCTGCCACAGTGCCTAGCACAGTTCTTACTCCTTCCTAGAAAAAAATACCTAGCCATCTTATCTGAGGCTATCAAATGGCTGAGAACAATTGCAACACAGTCACGATAGAGTACCCTTTGCAAAGCAAGGGATTCTGGCCATGTGTATTAGTCAGTTCTCATGCTGCTATGAAGAAATATCCGAGGTTGGGTAATTTATAAAGGAAAGAGGTGTAATTCATTCACAGTTCCACAGGGCTGGGGAGGCCTCAGGAAACTTATAATCATGGCAGAAAGGGAAGCAAACACATCCTTCTTCACATGGCAGCAGGAGACAGAAGGCTGAACAAAGGGGAAAATCCCTTTATAAAACCATCAGATCTCATGAGAATTCACTCACTATCATGAGAGCAGCATGGGGGTAACTGCCCCCAAGATCCAATTACTTCCCACTGCCTCCCTCCCATGACATGCGGGGATTATAGGAACTACAATCCAAAATGAGATTTGGGTGGGGACACAGTCAAACCGTATCACCATGGGAATTTTTTTAAATGATTGCAGCTTATAAGCCTGGTTATGATTGCTTTGGGTGCAATGATGACACGCTGTGAACTGTGCCCAAAGTAAGCCCGGTCGGTGAGGAAGGGTTATCCTCTGCCTGGCCACTGTGGAGACATTCACATTTCAGTAAGAGATGGCCAATTAATCTTGCATTAACCTTAATCACTTTTGCCTTCAGTCTCCCAAAAGTTGCTCATTTTGTTTGTGTTGTGGTGGGACCAGACCTAATAGGTGCTCACTTTCACACTGATTTCATGCTTATTTAATGCAGCTATAAAAGAAGAAATTTCATCATTTGTATAGTCTGTGAAATTCTCCCCAAATACGAACAAATGCACATTCACAGAGTAGATGCAGCTATTATTAATCTTTTCTAAAAAATAAATAATTGACTTGGGTGGAGATACTCAAAGGTATATAGTTAGTTAAAGGTTAAACTATGATTGAATTTTTCCTTTCTCAATTTTCATCATTCTTTTCATAATCATGGGTTATAGTCATATTACATTATATCTAGAAGGACATCTAAGATTGTCAAGTCCAACTCTCTTGGTTCAGAAAAGGAAATGCAGCCTCTGAGAGGTGATGGAAGTATTGCAGACTTTAAGGCTAGATGTTTTCAGAGATTGGTCTGGATCCTGGATCTCTTTATCCTATATTCCAATGCCTCTTTCCCAGTCCACATCCTCTTCCTCTAGGGATTCACTTTAATTTCAATCTATTATTTTTTCTTGTTTTCTGTACCCCGCTCCATCTCTTTCACAGCTCTACAGAAGGCTTGCACTCAGTTTTTCAAGGCAGTGCTCAATCTAAGAGTGGGAAGGAGAAGTCTTTGTCTCTTAAGTAAAAAGCTGCAGGTTTTTAGAACTTGTCTCTATGGATTTATAACAGCTTACTTCAGGGTGAATATTGGTGTTCATGAATCAGGCCTTCCAGCTTGTACAAGGGTATACAATGGGTGAGAAAAGTTGAAGGAAAGCTTGTAAGATTTTCCTCTATTTGTAAACCTACACATACGTGCTCTTCTTTACCCCTGTGCTAGGTTTCTAGCCTTGTATCTGTGTCCTTTGTCCCTCTAGCTTCTTGCACTCTTAAAATGTCAAATTCCTCACATTCACAAATGCCCCATGTGCTTTTGTTTCTCCAGTGCCTGTGTTCATTCCAGTCCCTCCACCTGAAATGTACTCTCCTTCTGTCTCTGCTGGCCAAAACCCCAATCAACAGGATGAGGCAAACCAGGCACACCACCTCGACAAGGAAGTCCTTCGGCACTCTCTAGAAAAAAATCAGTGAATCAGTTCTTGATCTCATAAAGCATTTTGTTGATATTGAAGTCCACATTCCAGATTACTTCAGTTGGCCTTCTTCCCTGCCAGATCTCATGATCCCTGTAGGCATCTTATTCTTTAAGTAGGTAATCTAGCACAGAACCTGGTACAGAATTTGATAATTGATGACAAATATTACTTGAATGAATGATTGCATAAATGAATAAAAGATGAGTGAAATGGAGTTGAGCGGGTATTTTAAAAATTTTCGCTTTTTCAAAACTATAGTAGTTACACTCCATAGTAAGGTAGCTATGGATTTTATCATTTTTAGAGACATTTTCTTGAAGATTACATCTAAATATATGGAAATACAATTTTTTAGTGTGTACTATAAAATATCTTGATTACAATTTTCTAAGATTTTTATTAAAAACAAATTAAAGCAGCAACTTTTTAAATCTATTTGTAATAAACTCAAATTTAAATATAAAGGGAAATCACATCTTATTTTTCTTTGACGTATTATAGTTATGTTTGGCATTATTCTCAAAACCACAAGCAATGGTTTCTTTTTCCAAACATGTTTTAGAAGTACAGTATTAAGCCAAGCTCTTCTAAGGATTATGCAGGGAGTTTTATCAGCCTTTTTGAGAATCAGGCCTCAGGTACTAATAAATGAGGCTGGGAATTAAAGGGGAGAATGTGGTGGGATGGTTTAATGAAAAGCTCTGGTTAAAATGGTTAAAAAAGAACCCAAAAAACAAAACTCTAATGATTTTAGTAAAAGCATTTAAAAATAATTACACACACTTGTATGCACATTTAGAAATCATGTTTCAGGAGAAAATGATTAAATGACCCATATCAAATATAATCAACCTGGGAGAAGCTAAAGCGAACTACATTTTTACTTTCAAATGCTCCTTTTAACGCATGAATGCAACCGCAAGGTACCTTAGTATTTGGAAAACAACCACCAAGAGAAGAAGCAAGAAATTTCAAAGTTTAAGTTCTTGGCTCACGTGAATTGGCACTGTAAATGTGACAAAGTTATCTATATTCATTGGAAATCTCTTTATGTGGAAAAACTATGTAATGACACATTACACAGGGAACTAGAAACACAAATGATTAATGAAATAAATGCTGACAAAAATATAAATCTAAAATTAAAGGCTTTTTATTAAAATTATTTTCAAAGCTACATAAAGCAACTGATTTAAAAGTGAAAAATATATTATCCAATTGATGTCATGATATAATTATTTGCTATTTACTTCCATTCAATTAACTAAATTTAAGTGTTTTAGCAGATAACTTATGGATTTAATAGGAAAAATAGTTTACCTCAAATAAGATAATTTATAATAGAGTGATATTTAAAACATTTAAAAGCATAAAGAGGGTCCATTAGTTGAGTATGCAGATAATTGCTTTACCTGATTTTTTATTTATTTATTGTTATTTATTTATTTATTTATTTATTTATTTATTTATTTATTTGAGATGGAGCTTCACTCTTGTCTGCCAGGCTGGAGTGCAATGGTGTGATCTCAGCTCCCTGCAACCTCCACTTCCCGGGTTCAATAAATTCTCTTGCCTCAGCCTCCCGAGTAGCTGGGATTACAGGTGCTCGCCACCATGCCCAGTTAATTTTTGCTTTTTTTTTTTTTTGAGACGGAGTCTCACTCTGTCACCTGGGCTGGAGTGCAATGGCGCAATCTTGGCTCACTGCAACCTCTGCCTTCTGGGTTCAAGCGATTCTCCTGCCTCAGCCTCCTGAGTAGCTGGGATTACAGGTGCACACCACCACTCCTGGCTAATTTTTTGTATTTTAGTAGAGATGGGGGTTTCACCATGTTGACCAGGCTGGTCTCGAACTCCTGACCTTGTGATTTGCCCGCCTCAGCCTCCCAAAGTGCTGAGATCACAGGCGTGAGCCACCACACCCAGCCCTGAAAATATTCCTATAGTAGAAAAATTGGAAATTCAAGATAAAGATAAATGTGTGGTCTATACAGAATTTTTCTAAATAATTGGCTAACATTTTCAAACAACTTGTGTTAATTGTTCAGCTTCCCTATATATATAAATTTGACTTTGTGAATTTTAAACTTACTTAAGAAAATAAAAATTGTTTTCATAATGTGTCTTTTACTGCAATTTCTATAAAAATGTGCAATTTTTTAAAAATATAAAAGACTCCTTAGTGAGCATAAATAATTTTATTTGGAACATATTTTCAGAGCTTCACATGCAATAAAATATGTTTATTAGGTCTAAATGTCTTCTTTTCTTCCATATTTTTCACTAAATTCTTTGTCATCTGAACAAACTTTCGCTCTTTCATTTGATTATCACAACTCACATTTTCCAAGCAGAGGTGAGGTCACAGGTATGAAAACACTTCACGCTGATTTTTTAAAATTTGTTATTGTGAGAAAGTATATATAACATAAAATTTCCCATTTTAACCATTTCAAGTGTATAATTCAGTGTCATTAATTATACATTGTTGTGCAATCATCACCATTATCCATTTCCAGAACTTTTTCATTAAAACTCTCTACTTATTAGACAATAATAACTTGCCTTTATTTTTTTCCTCCTAGCCCCTGGGAACCTCAAATCTATTTTCAGTCTCTATGAATTTGCTTATTCCAGATATTTTACTTAAGTGGAATCATACACTATTTGTTCTTTTGTGTCTGATTTATTTCACCTAGCATAATGTTTTCAAGATTCTTTTTTTCTTTGTTTGTTTCTTTTTTAACTTTCATTCTATGTCCAGAATGGTGTATTGTAGGTTATCTTCCAGGGTTTTCACAGTCTTGGATTTTACACTTAAGTCTTTAATCCATCTTCAGTCGATTTTTGTATATGGTGTAAAGAAGGGGTCCAGTTTCAACAGATTCATCTGTATTGTAGCATGGATCAGAATTTCATTCCTTTTTTTTTTTTTTTTTTTTTTGGAGACGGAGTCTCACGCTGTCGCCCAGGGTGGAGTGCAGTGGCGCGATCTCTGCTCACTGCAAGCTCCGCCTCCCAGGTTCGCGCCATTCTCCTGCCTCAGCCTCCCGAGTAGCTGGGACTACAGGCGCCCGCTACCACGCCCGGCTAATTTTTTCTATTTTTAGTAGAGACAGGGTTTCACCGTGTTAGCCAGGATGGTCTCGATCTCCTGATCTCGTGATCTGCCCCTCTCGCCTCCCAAAGTGCTGGGATTACAGGCGTGCGCCACCGCGCCCAGCCCAGAATTTCATTCCTTTTTAAGGCTGAATTATATCCCATTGTACGTATATACCACATTTTGTTTAACCATTCACCTGTTGATGGACAGTTGAGTTGTTTCTACATTTTGGCTATTGTGAATAATGCTGCAGCACACATGGAGTACAAGTATCTGTTTGATCTTTGCTTTTAATGATTTTGAGTATATTACAAATTTCCATGTAATACTTGTAAGTTTAGCATTTGAAGGAACTGTCAAACTGTTTTCCACAGTGGCTGGACCATTTTGCATTCCTAAGAGCAATGTAGGAGGGTTCTAACTTCCCTACATTCTCCCTAACACTTGCTATTTTCTTATTTTGGTTTTGTTTTTTATTTTAACTATCCTAGTCTGTGAAATGGTATCACATGGTGGTTTTGACATGCATTTTTCTAATAACGAATGAAGTTGAACATCTTTGCATGTGCTCACTGCTTATTTGTATGTCTTCCTTGAAGAAATGTCTATTCAAGTTATTTGCTCATATTTTAACCAGGTACTTTGTTGAGGAATTGTTGGAGTCCTTTATAGATTCTGCATATTAAACTCTTAGATATAGATTTGAATATCCATGCGGATATAGATTCGCAAATATTTTCTACCATTCTGTAGGTTGTCTTTTCACTTTCTTGATAATGTCCTCTGATAACAAAATAACTTATCAATTCAAGTTATTTATTTAATACTCTCATTTTACAGATTAATGTCTAATATAACTACCTTCTTAAGGAATTCTTCATTTCAGTTCAATTGAACAGGTTGTTATAAAATATGTTTGTACCAGGAGGTAAGAATACAAATATTTTTAAAAAGGACATAGTCCCTGCCTCAAGGAATCTTAGCATGTTGTAGACTCATAAACAGATAATTTGTTTGACATAAGCAATAATAAGTAAAGCGGTTTCTGTAGGGCAGCTGATGTTTGCAGAAAGTAATCTAAATCCATAATTATCATATATAGGCACCAATTTCACCAAAAAAAAAATGTGTGGGAAGTGTAAATAATTAAATACCATCTCTGCCATGTAATAGCTCTTTAAACTTTGTCAAGTTCACCAACTCTTGAGGTACTCTAATTTCCTCACCTGTAAAATTGGGGTATTGATTCTCATTCTTAACTTCTGTGATTGTCGCGAAAGATCAAATGAAATAACAGATGGGAAAACATTTTGGGATTTAAAGCTACTATGCAAATGTAAAGCCTATTATTATTATGTATTCTTGTGCACCAATTACTTGGCATCATAATAGTTGGTAATAATCATTAAGGGTTATCATTAGAAATATAGACCTGTCTGCAAGCTTACATGCCATCTTTGTGTTTGTGTACATAGTGCACCTCTACAGTTGGGAACATTAGTATGTGCGTTTGTTTTATTTTCCAAACTATGCAATTCTTTTCTGGTAAATGCTATTAAACTGCTGGCTTTCATCCTCCACAGCCTTTTTCACCAGTGCTGTATTCAGGCATTTCCACTGCAGCTGGTGTAAAAGATGCAGGCTGGAATTGTTCTGGTCGAGTCTGAGTGGTCCTCTTTTAGAAACTGGGCCCTCGGGCCTCAGCAGCCTTTAATCAGCTGTAACTGGAGTGAAGCTGTCAGCTCCTGCTTGTTTCCTGTCAGCTTTAGTACCATTTAGAGCATCCCTGATAAATGTACAGTACAAATTTAACAGTCGACCTGTGAAAAAGAAAAACCAAACATCTCTAACACACTGGAAGAAACTTTCTTTAGCCATATCACAAAAAAATCCGTGGGCTAGAAGCTCCAGTGTTGACAAAATAGAAACTGGTGACATGTAAATGGATGCATTGAAGAATATGGTCATCTTGAAATATCTAAGGTCTTTAGAAAATGTCTAAATAAATAGGGAAAAGGAAAGAGAAGAAAAGAAAAAGGCTTGGTTGGGATGGGCAAAGGTGCTGAAAAGATGAAATACCAAGGGAAGGTTCTTCTTTTGATTTTTTTCCTTGAGTTAGAAGAAGAAGAAAATCCCTGTGCATGTTCTCCAGCTACTCCAAAAGGTGGAAAGTGTGTGGTTTAAGTACAGGCAATCATGATGATAATTTGCTAGTACCGAATTGCACTTGAGTTACCACTTCATCACTCACTGCCAATGTGAAACCAAGAGACATCGAGTATGCAAAATGGTGACGTTAAATTTCATCTTACTCATTTATAAAATGAAGATGAGAATAAGTCTGACCTCACAGAGTTCTTGTAAAGATGAAGTAAAGTGATACTTGGACTTCATAAATGGTATAACATTCTACAAAATTCAGCTAAGTTAATGTTATACCAAACAATTTGCCAGTGTCCTGAAGGGCTAACAACAAATCTACTAAAAAGAAAGAATTCATTTTTCTAAGTATACTAATACTAAACATGGGCTTACATTGAGTTGTTTATATAGAATGCTCCATTCACACTTATAATTCTCTTTCAGAAAGCATAGTCAAATTCAATGAGACATGTTTCTGCTAACACAGTTACACTCAGTCTATAATCTATGACCAGTTGATTGCTTCTTCAAATGAAAAGAGGAGACATTGTTCAACTCCCACTTTTGCGTGAGAACATGCCATGTTTGGTTTTCTGTTGCTGTGTTAGTTTGCTGAGGATGAAGGCTTCCAGCTTCATTCACGTCCCTGCAAAAAATCATGATCTCATTCCTTTTTATGGATGAGTGGTGTTCCGTGTTGTATATGTACCACATTTTCTTTATCCAGTCTATCATTGATGGGCATTTGGGTTGGTTCCACATCTTTGCTACACACTGGGGCCAGGGGCATTGGGGCAAGGGGAGGGAGAGCATTAGGACAAATAGCTAATGCATGCCAGGCTTAAAACCTAGATGTCTGGTTGATAAGTGCAGCAAACTACCATGGCACACATATACATATGTAACAAACCTACATGTTCTTCACTTGTATCCCAGAACTTAAAGTAAAAAATAAATAAGGAAATAAATAAATAACAACAACAACAGCAAAAAAGAGTAGACATATTTAAATCTTTAAAGCAACCTTTCACAAAGTATATTCCATGGAATACCATTGGGTGAAATAAAAGTTTTCATGGTCAAATATACCAATTTAATAAATGCAACACATTCTCTCCCTAATGAAAATTTACAACACATTTTAGCATGTCAAAGGCCCCAATAATTCCAGCAGTAAAAAACCAGTTTAACATGTTGGAGTTATTCCCAGTTTGATTTTTGTATTTTAAAATCCCTGGTAACTGGTCCAGAACTTGCAGTGTGTAGAGTAGAAGTGGTTGAGTCAAATAGGTCTCCATTATAATTCTGGCTTGTTCACTTATTAGTTCTGTGACTTTAGTGAGTTGCTAAATTGTTCTGTTTCTACTTCCTCATATTTAAATATAGATAATAGCTGTTTCAATGGCCATCTCGTAATAAGCTAGTACATGTAATACAATTAGCACAAGTGCTTAATATGTGTCAAATATCACTATTATTGTTGTTATTCTGTATTTTATTCACCAAACAATTTGAGTTGTAGGCTGCTGACTCACTTCTTTTTTTAATAGGATATATATTTTTTAGGGGGAAGGGGCATGACACACCCTCTTCCTTACTTTATATACTAAAAAAAGGAAAATCTGGGTCCATAATAATATGTCTAATGATAATAATGAGAAGATGGCAATGAAAGTGGCTGGTCAAATATTCAACCTTAAACTTCATGAATAGACTTATCAGTTATAAAGAGAATATATCAATATATCTCTCTACTCATTCATATTAATTTCCTTATTGATTTATTCAAAATATGTATTTAAAACTTATGTGCTAGACTCTGTACAACACAGTTGATGCCTAGCAGTCAAAAGGAAAAGAAAAAAGACAAATAGGTACCTACCCTCATATGTTCAATAGTCTATTAAATAGCCTATTAAGTACAAATACGATCCTTCTTGAAATGCTGTACATGCATTTCAGGTCCTTAGAAAATCCAACTTTTAAATATTGAATGTAAAGGAAATACTGGAAATGAATAGAAAGATCATAAAGAAGAAACAAAATATAATGAGAAAATAATTCAACCCGCACATGAGTCTGATGATCTGGGCATGAATCATCATTTCCATTTGCAAGCTAAGTGATTGAAACTAGAGACTTAAATATTTGAAGAATCCATTTCTTCAAATGTAATCTTATAGAAATTAAATTATCAAAACATTCATTTAACATGTAACATATCTTGACTATTTAACAGACTTTGAAGATTTCCATTGTGTCAGGCACTGTGCAAGGCACTGACGATAGAGAAATGAAGAGAGCAAATGCAGGTTTAAATGCAGATAATTCCGTACTTCCTTGTCTATCACCTCTACTTTTCTGTGAGGTCTTTAAACCTCTAATCATATTAATGCATATAACACATGGAGGTTGATACAAATTACAGGTGTTATGCTGAAGAGGATATAATCAAATCTCATGGTAGAATCAAGAAAGATTTCACAGACATGGTGCCATTTAACCTTAATATTTGGGGATGAATATAAATTCTCAAAATATACAAGACAGTGGGAAGAGTGTTCAAAAAGGCAAGTTCTGGGATGTTGCAGGAAAAGACACTTAAGCCAAAGAAAAACTCTAAGTAACTGTGTATTAATCTCGAGACCAGCAGTGGCAGATAAGTTTCATTTTGAGAGTCAGTTTGTATTGATTTCAAGGGAAATATTTTTATGTATATTAACTTAACGGTATTCTGCTCCCTACTTACTTGAGGTCAACCTTTTCTTTATTCTGTTAGAGAACTGAGCATGCTTGTATGAAAACTAACATTTTATAGTGCAATTTTTTTAAAGAAGTATCAATGTTCAGCTTTTTTTTCACTTCCAAAATAAAACTTGAGAATAAAAAAGGAGTTTTGGCCATCATAGTCGAAAGAGGAATTAAGGAGATTATTACCTTTTACTCCTTGCACCAGCTACTAGAGAAAAGTATATTTGATCCTTAAACAATGTGAGGATTAGGGGCACTGACCCACGTGCAGTCAAACATTTAATATAACTTTTGACTCCCTAAAACTTTGACCACTGATAGCTTACTGTTGACTGGAAGCATTTCCGATAACATGAAGTCTATTAACACATATTTTGTATGTTATTTATATATGTATATTATATGCTCTATTCTTACAATAAAGAAAGCTAGAGAAAAGATGTTACAAAGAAAATCATAAAGAAAAGAGAATATATTTACTATTCATTAAGTTGAAATGGATCATCATATTGGTATTCATCCTCATTATCTTCCTATTGAGTAGGCTGAGAAGGATGAGGAGGGGTTGGTCTCAGGGGTGGCAGAGTTGTAAAAAAAGTTTGTATCTAAGTGGACCCACACAGTTCAAACCTGTGTTGTTCAAGGGCCAACTTGGAGGAGACTGGGATCACAGAGAAAAGAGATCTTGAGCTTGGGAGAGTATTTGGGAAGCTTTGGAGATCCAGAATATAAAGAGAGCAAGCCATCAATTCTATGGCCAACAAATAAGGAATCTTTAAGGTCACCCTTCACCACTTGATTATACTTCTAGGTTTAGAAACCACATCTTTACTTATAACTATCTGTATATCTTTTGTTGATGTTCCAGCAGACATATTTTCTCATGTTACAGCACCTTCTAGGATTCTCTAAACTTCCTATGCAAATATTGTTGGTCCAGGGCATCTCTAAGCTTCCCTACCCACTTCTTCTCTACCCACTTCCACCACCTCCTCCTCCACTCCCAAAAGAAAAAAAAAATTAAAAAGGCAGAGCTTTCATAGGGTTACATAGGGTGTGAAACAGAAAGCTCAAGCAACAAAATTTGAATAGCAGAAGAGAAGGGTGGAACCCATTAGTGTTTCAGGAATGATGAGCTGGGAATAATACAGGGACCTGCACATAAGCTTAGAGAATAAAACATCTGTGTTCATTTAGTAATGTCTGCAGTGAATTCAGGAAGAAGGGTGTTGACATACATGTTCATGTCTGCAAATGCTGCTGTGGCTGAGAAGAGTTTCTGAAATAGCAATTTGCAGCCTTTTATACCCAGTTAGAATCTAGGGATTACATTTTGGTCATCTGTAGGACTAAACAAATGAAGACCATGAATGACAGAGCCCATTGAATGGTGTACCTTTACTTTCCGTTACAGGGCAAGTTGTCTTTGTGATGATTGCACAAGGAGGCAGGTGAGGACAGGTTCTTCCTCTTATTTTATGCCTGAGGAATTGAAGGCTGAGAATACTTCAGTGTTCCAAAACAATAGAGTCAGGAATAGCAGAGAGAGAACTCAAACTTGCAAACTCATACCAAATTTGTTAGAACATGGGATAACATAAAATTTTTTTAAAATGTCCTTTTTATTTTGGCAGTATTGCAATGGCTTAAGGATTCTTTTTATAGTCATTACATTAAACATTTGAATTTTGGTATTCTTTCCCACCTGTGAAAATATCCCACCATAATTTTTTTTCCCATTGAAATATCAAGCTTAGTTAAAAAAAATTAGGCTTTTGCTTTTCTGTTTTTTGCTTGTAAGAAAGATCATTTTATAAGTATTTCTATGCTTTTATATATTTTAAATGTCAACATTTTGAAAGAGTTTTTGCAAATTTAACTTTTAAGTTAAAATTTTAAGAGACATGGCAAGCAAGCAACATTGGTACCTTGGTGCTGAAACAAAAGAAAATTGTAATACTTTCCTAAACATGCTTAAAACTTCCTGTTTCCCATTGTGAATGGTGGGTTAGAGCTTTGAAAACAAAATAAGACATTGCTTTATTCAAAGGGAGTTGCTTGTACATAATAAATTTGTGAGAATTTAGAAGAATGTAACTTTGAATGACAATCCACCAATAACACAGTGATATATTAGACATATAAAGATAAGTGTGGGGCACAACATTTATTTGGGAGATAAGAAAAATACCCTGGGTAGTCCTCTCTATATTATCTTGTTATTTTGAAATTAAAATATATCTGTTTAAGTGAGACAATCCCTGATGATTCTACATAGAGAATTTTTTTTATTCTCGATGTCTCTCTGTAGGACAATGCCCAAATCGCTATTAAAGAAAAAGCCAATTGTTGTTTTTCTTTAACCGATGGATTAGTACCTGGCCAAGTGAGCATCATTGCCACAGAAATATAGATGGCATCACCACTTATAGCCACAATAGTCACAACTATCCACCTGAGAATCTTCTTCAGGTGGAATGGGTTCTGGAGGGAGAAGGGGTACATAGGATTATCTTTTCTTTTTAAGTAATTTTTCACTGAAATAAAACATATGTGCAGAAAAGTGTATAAATCTTAGTTGTACAGCTGAGTGAATTTGAATAAAGTGACCAAATTCACAGTACTGGATTACGTTGTTTTCTCTCAATTCCAAGCCCACCTCTTTCTCTGCTCTGCTTTGCGATGATGGGACAAGGACTCTGCAATCTACATTTCTTCTTTGCCAGTTGATTCTGCTAAGCCTGCAATAAGGTTCCAAAGGAACATGAGAAGGCTGGTGGGAGAATAAAGGATGTGCTTTTTTCTATTTGCTCCTGGTTCTTATTATTGTCACCTAAACAATGGCCTCTCAGCTTGACAACAATGGTTGGTTTCCTCTCTAAGTTTTGCCGTATTACCAGAACGATGCTCCCTCCGAGATATCAAGAAATCTCTCCACACATCCTTCACAAAAAAAAAAAAAAAAAAAAAAAAAAAAAAAAAAAAAAATCTTTACAGGTCAATGGGAAGGACAAATAAACCCACATGCCCTCAACTTAACTAAAAGATCTAGAATATTAGATATTTCACATTACTGGCAAGTTCAAAAAGTAAATCCCAATTTTAATCAGAAGTGTGATATGAGATCCTGCTATATCCCTGCATGGAGAGTATGGGAAGAAGGAGTGAGCAGGGACCCAGAAGTCATTACAGAAGAAACATGCTGGGGAAAAGAGCCTTAGATTGTTCAAAAGCCCGCCCTTCAAAAGAAAAGAAAAAAGAAAGTCCACTCTAAGTGTTATAGTACTGAGAAAGTATCCTACTGAAATCAGAGCCCTGATTTGCTGGCACGGTAGTTAAAAGTGCACAGAGCTTGAGGTGGTAGAACAGAAAGGCAACCCAGAAAGGCACTGGGCTCTGAAGAAAAGAGGGTAAAAAGAAATAAAGAGTAAAGAATGAGTAGTGAAGGGGAATATAACAATAAGAAGAAATTTAGAAACTGTAAGTTATAAGAGACCCCAAAAATGATAAAAGGAAACACACCCCATCCTCCATAACATTATTTTGAAAGACAACCATTAAAGACATTTCATTCTGCTACTCTGACAGGTGAGGATGCTCTTGAAATAGGAATTGTGAACATGCCAACCTCTGCACTAAATGTATAGACTTAAAGCTATTTTAAGGTTATAAAACAAAGGCAGAAAACCAGGATCACATATTTTAGTGGATGAAAATTCCTGGGGGAAAATCTCTGCAAAAAATAAAAAGCAAAAACCCAATAGACATAACCGTGTTGCAGAAGAAACCATATCACAGCATTCTAAACTACATCAGATATTCTCAACAAGAATTTGGAGATATAAAAATAAAAATAAAAATTTTAATATATATATACAAAAAGAAGAAATGAGGCCAGGCGTGGTGGCTCATGCCTGTAATCTCAGCACTTTGGGAAGCCAAGGAGGGTGGATTCATGACGATAAGAATAGACAACTCAACTGGGTGGTTCCAAGATGGCCAAGAGATGGAGACCATCCTGACCAACATGGTGAAACCCCGTCTCTACTAAAAATACAAAAATTAGCTGGGCATGGTGGTGCACACCTGTGGTCCCAGCTACTCAGGAGGCTGAGGCAGGAGAATCACTTGAACCTGGGAGGCGGAGGTTGCAGTGAGTGGAGATTGCACCACTGCACTCTAGCCTAGCGACAGAGCAAGACTGTCTCAAAAAAAAAAAAAACAAAAAAAAGAAAAGAAAGAAATGAAACAGGATAATATTTTACTTAATAAATAAAACAAAAAGATAAAATTATGTCAAAAATTATACAGTTCCCAGGAGAGAATACATGAAATAAAAATCTAATAAGAAGCACTAATCAAAGAAGAAAAATAACTGGGTCAATGTGAATGAGATAATAAAAAGTTAAAAGCCTCAAAGAAAAATTCGTTGGACTAGAAGCCAGGCAAAGAAGATCTAAAGAAAGATAATTATCATTTCTGAAGAAAGGCAACAAAGTAAAGGGACAAAAACTAATATTTAAAATAATACATTTACAAAGTCAATGAAGGCTCTATTTTGAAAACTTTCTTGTCAAGTTTACTAGTTCAAAAGCTTCATCCAATCAACAGATGACTGGGAAAATTTTGATATACCTACTTCTAGGAGTTTAAGCTAAATTTGACCTTCGATGATACAAAATACATATGAACAAAGCTGATTATTGCAGCATTGCTTATAAATGTAATATGCTGTAAACATATAAATTTTTATAAATTGAAGTTTGGATGAGTAAACTACAACACATGCACAAAATGGATTACTATGCTACTATGTTACCTATACTGGATTACTAGAAGAAGGAGGAGGAGGAAAGAAATTTGGTTCCCATGAATAAATAATTTCTAAAATGTATGGGAAAGTTAAAAAAGCAAAGTGTAAATGAGTATACATAGTATATTGATAGTATGTGTTTTGTGTAAGAAAGCCAGGAAAATAGACGAACCAAATTTATCTCAAGGAGCGGGTGGGAATAGGGTAAAAGTGTTGAGGATAAGAATAGACAACTCGATTGGGCTGTTCCAAGATGGCCGAATAGGAACAACTCCAGTCTACAGCTCCCAGCCTGAGCAACGCAGAAGACGGGTGATTTCTGCATTTCCAACTGAGGTACCGGGTTCATCTCACTGGGGCTTGTCAGACAGTGGGTGCAGGACAGTGGGTGCAGCCCACCAAGCCTGAGCCAAAGCAGGTCAAGGCATCACCTCACCTGGGAAGTGCAAGGGGTCAGGGAATTCCCTTTCCTAGCCAAGGGAAGGGGTAACAGATGGCAAATGGAAAATCAGGTCACTCTCACTCTAATACTGCACTTTACCAATGGTCTTAGCAAATGGCACACCAGGAGATTATATCCCGTGCCTGGCTCTGAGGGTCCCACGCCCACAGAGCCTTGCTCATTGCTAGCACAGCAGTCTGAGATTGAACTGCAAGGCGGCAGGGAGGCTGGGGGAGGGGCGCCCACCATTGCTGAGGCTTGAGTAGGTAAACAAAGCTGCTGGGAAGCTCAAACTGGGTGGAGCCCACCACAGCTCAAGAAGGCCTGCCTGCCTATGTAGACTCCACCTCTGGGGGCAGGGAATAGCCGAACAAAAGGCAGCAGAAACCTCTGCAGACTTAAATGTCCCTGTCTGACAGCTTTGAAGAGAGTACTGGTTCTCCCAGAACGGAGTTTGAGATCTGAGAACAGACAGACTACCTCCTCAAGTGAGTCCCTGACCCCTGAGGAGCCTAACTGGGAGGCACCCCCCAGTAGGGGCAGACTGACACCTCACATGGCCGGGTACCCCTCTGAGACAAAGCTTCCAGAGGAACGATCAGGCAGCAACATTTTCTGTTCAGCAATATTTGCTGTTCTGCAGCTCCGCAGCTGATACCCAGGCAAACAGGGTCTGGAGTGGACCTCCAGCAAACTCTAACAGACCTGCAGCTGAGGGTCCTGACTGTTAGAAGGAAAACTAACAAACAGAAAAGACATCCACATCAAAACCCCATCTGTATGTCACCATCATCAAAGACCAAACGTAGGTAAAACCACAAAGATGGGGAAAAAACAGAGCAGAAATGCTGAAAATTCTAAAAATCAGAGCGCCTCGCCCCCTCCAAAGGAACGCAGCTCCTCTCCAGCAATGGAACAAAGCTGCATGGAGAATGACTTTGACGAGTTGAGAGAAGAAGGCTTCAGATGATCAAACTTCTCCGAACTAAAGGAGGAAGTTTGAACCCATCACAAAGAAGCTAAAAACCTTGAGAAAAGATTAGACGAATGGCTAACTAGAATAACCAGTGTAGAGAAGTCCTTAAAGGACCTGATGGAGATGAAAACCACAGCATGAGAACTACATTATGAATGCACAAGCTTCAGTAGCCGATTCTATCAACTGGAAGAAAGGGTGTCAGTAATTGAAGATAAAATTAATGAAATTAAGCGAGAAGAGAAGTTTAGAGAAAAAAGAGTAAAAAGAAACCAACAAAGCCTCCAAGAAATATGGGACTATGTGAAAAGACCAAATCTACGTTGGATTGGTGTACCTGAAAGTGATGGGGAGAATGGAACCAAGTTGGAAAACACTACAGGATATTATCCAGAACTTCCCCAACCTAGCAAGGCAGGCCAACATTCAAATTCAGGAAATACACAGAATGCCACAAAGATACCCCTTGAGAAGAGCAACCCCAAGACACATAATTGTCAGATTCACCAAAGTTGAAATGAAGGAAAAAATGTTAAGGGTAACCAGAGAGAAAGGTCGGGTTACCCACAAAGGGAAGCCCATCAGACTAACAGTGGATATCTTGGCAGAAACTCTACAAGCCAGAAGAGAGTCAGGGACAACATTCAACATTCTTAAAGAAAAGAATTTTCAACCCAGAATTTCATATCCAGCCAAACTAAGCTTCATTAGTGAAGGAGAAATAAAATCCTTTACAGACAAGCAAATGCTGAGAGATTTTGTCACCACCAGGCCTGCCCTACAACAGCTCCTGAAGGAAGCACTAAACATGGAAAGGAACAACTGGTACCAGCCACTGCAAAAACATGCCAAATTGTAAAGACCATCAACTCTAGGAAGAAACTACATCAACTAATGAGCAAAATAACCAGCTAACATCATAATGACAGGATCAAATTTACACATAACAATATTAACCTTAAATGTAAATGCGCTAAATGCTCCAATTAAAAGACACAGACTGGCAAATTGGATAAACAGTCAAGACCCATCAGTGTGCTGTATTCAGGAGACCCATCTGACATGCAGAGACACACATAGGCTCAAAATAAAGGGATGGAGGAAGACCTACAAAGCAAATGGAAAACAAAAAAAGGCAGGAGTTGCAATCCTATTCTCTGAAAAAACAGACTTTAAACCAACAAAGATCAAAAGAGACAAAGAAGGCCATTACATAATGGTAAAGGGATCAATTCAACAAGAAAAGCTAACTATCCTAAATATATATGCACCCAATACAGGAGCACCCAGATTCATAAAGCAAGCCCTTAGAGACCTACAAAGAGACTCAGACTCCCACACAATAATAATGGGAAACTTTAACACCCCACTGTCAACATTAGACAGATCAACGAGACAGAAAGTTAAAAAGGACATCCAGGAATTGAACTCAGCTCTGCACCAAGCAGAACTAATAGACATCTACAGAACTCTCCACCTCTAATTAACAGAATATACATTCTTCTCAGCACCACATTGCACTTATTCCAAAATTGACCACATAGTTGGAAGTAAAGCACTCCTCAGCAAATGTAAAAGAACAGAAATTATAACAAACTCTTTCAGACCACAGTGCAATCAAACTAGAACTCAGGATGAAGAAACTCACTCAAAACCGCTCAACTACATGAAAATAGAACAACCTGCTCCTGAATGACTACTGGGTATGTAACGAAATGAAGGAAGAAATAAAGATGTTCTTTGAAACCAATGAGAACAAAGACACAACATACCAGAATCTCTGGGACGCATTCAAAGCAGTGTGTAGAGGGAAATTTATAGCACTAAATGCCCACAAGAGAAAGCAGGAAAGATCTAAAATTGACACCCTAATATCACAATTAAAAGAACTAGAGAAGCAAGAGCAAACAAATTCAAAAGCTAGCAGAAGGGAAGAAATAACTAAGATCAGAGCAGAACTGAAGGAGATAGAGACACAAAAAGCCCTTCAAAAAAATCAATGAATCCAGGAACTGGTTTTTTGAAAAGATCAGCAAAACTGATAGACTGCTAGCAAGACTAATAAAGAAGAAAAGAGAGAAGAATCAAATAGATGCAATAAAAAATGATAAAGGGGATATCACCACTGATCCCACAGAAATACAAACTACCATAAGAGAATACTATAAACACCTCTATGCAAATAAACTAGAAAATGTAGAAGAAATGGATAAATTCCTGGACACATACACCCTCCCAAGACTAAACCAGGAGGAAGTTGAATCCCTGAATAGACCAGTAACAGGCTCTGAAATTGAGGCAATAATTAATAGCCAACCAACCAAAAAAAGTCCAGGACCAGATGGATTCACAGCCGAATTCTACCAGAGGTACAAGGAGGAGCTGGTACCATTCCTTCTGAAACTATTCCAATCAATAGAAAAAGGGGTAATCCCTCCTTAACTCATTTTATGAGGCCAGCATCATCCTGATACCAAAGCCTGGCAGAGACACAACAAAAAAAGAGAATTTTAGACCAATATCCCTGATGAACATCGATGCAAAAATCTTCAATAAAATACTGGCAAACCAAATCCAGCAGCACATCAAAAAGCTTATCCACCAAGATCAAGTGGGCTTCATCCCTGGGATGCAAGGCTGGTTCAATATACTCAAATCAATAAACGTAATCCAGGATATAAACAGAACCAAAGACAAAAACCACATGATTATCTCAATAGATGCAGAAAAGGCCTTTGACAAAATTCAACAGCCCTTCATGCTAAAAACTCTCAATAAATTAGGTATTGATGGGATGTATCTCAAAATAATAGAAGCTATTTATGACAAACCCACAGCCAATATCATACTGAATGGGCAAAAACTGGAAGCATTCCCTTTGAAAACTGGCACAAGACAAGGATGCCCTCTCTCACCACTCCTATTCAACATAGTGCTGGAATTTCTGGCTGGGGCAATCAGGCAGAAGAAAGAAGTAAAGGGTATGCAATTAGGAAAACAGGAAGTCAAATTGTCCCTGTTTGCAGATGACATGATTGTATATTTAGAAAACCCCATCATCTCTGCCCAAAATCTCCTTAAGCCGATAAGCAACTTCAGCAAAGTCACAGGATACAAAATCAATGTGCAAAAATCACAAGCATTCTTATCCACCAATAACAGACAAGCAGAGAGCCAAATCATGAGTGAACTCCCATTCACGATTGCTTCAAAGAGAATAAAATACCTAGGAATCCAACTTACAAGGGATGTGACGGACCTCTTCAAGGAGAACTACAAACCACTGCTCCACGAAATAAAAGAGGACACAAACAAATGGAAGAGAATTCCATGCTCATGGGTAGGAAGAATCAATGTCATGAAAATGGCCATATTGCTCAAGGTAATTTATGGATTCAATGCCATCCCCATCAAGCTACCAATAACTTTATTCACAGAATTGGGAAAAGCTACTTTAAAGTTCATATGGAACCAAAAAAGAGCCCGCATTGCCAAGACAATCCTAAGCAAAAAGAACAAAGCTGGAGGCATCACGCTACCTGACTCCAAACTATATTATAAGGTTACAGTAACCAAAACAGCATGGTACTGGTACCAAAACAGAGATATAGACCAATAGAACAGAACAGAGCCCTCAGAAATAATAGCACACATCTACAACCATCTGATCTTTGACAAACCTGACAAAAACAAGAAATGGGGAAAGGATTCCTTATTTAATAAATGGTGCTGGGAAAACTGGCTAGCCATATATAGAAAGCTGAAACTGGATCCCTTACACCTTATACAAAAATTAATTCAAGATGGATTAAAGACTTAAATGTTAGACCTAAAACCATAAAAACTCTAGAAGAAAACCTAGGCAATACCATTCAGGACATAGGCATGGGCAAGGACTTCATGTCTAAAACACCAAAAGCAATGGCAACAAAATCCAAAATTGACAAATTGGATCTAATTAAACTAAAGAGCTTCTGCACAGCAAAAGAAACTACCATCAGAGTGAACAGGCAACCTACAGAATGGGAGAAAATTTTTGTAATCTACTCATCTGACAAAGGGCTGATATCCAGAATCTACAAAGAACTCAAACAAATTTACAAGAAAAAAAACAAACAACTCCATCAAAAACTGGGCAAAGGAGATGAACAGACACTTCTCAAGAGAAGACATTTATGCAGGTAAAAGACACATGAAAAGATGCTCATCATCACTGGCCAATAGAGAAATGCAAATCAAAACCACAGTGAGATACCATCTCCCACCAGTTAGAATGGCGATCATTAAAAAGTCAGGAAACAACAGGTGCTGGAGATGATGTGGAGAAATAGGAACACTTTTACACTGTTGGTGGGACTGTAAACTAGTTCAACCATTGTGGAACACAGTGTGGTGGTTCCTCAAGGATCTAGAACTAGAAATACCATTTGACCCAGCCATCCCATTATTGGGTATATACCCAAAGGATTATAAATCATGCTGCTATAAAGATACATGCACATGTATGTTTACTGTGGAACTATTCACAATAGGAAAGACTTGGAACCAACCCAAATGTCCATCAATGATGGACTAGATTAAGAAAATGTGGCACATATACACCACGGAATACTATGCAGCCATAAAAAGGATGAGTTCATGTCCTTTGTAGGGTCATGGATGAAGCTGGAAACCGTCATTCTCAGCAAACTATTGCAAGAGCGAAAAAACAAACACTGCATGTTCTCACTCATAGGTGGGAATTGAACAATGAGAACACTTGGACATAGGAAGGGGAACATCACACACTGGGGCCTGTCGTGGAGTCGGGGGAGTGGGGAGGGATAGCATTAGGAGATATACCTAATGTAAATGACGAATTAATGGGTGCAGCACACCAACATGGCACATGTATACATATGTAACAAACTTGCACATTGTGCACATGTACCCTAGAACTTAAAGTAAGTTAAAAAAAAAGGAAGAAGAAGAATAGACAACTCTATCAGTATAGTTTTTACTTTGGGAGCCATTTTATATTTTATATTTTGAAAGAAATAAAATCAGATCAATAAGAACGGAGGGAAATCCTAACATGAAATACAAACATAAGCAAATAAATGTATTTTAAATGGATAGCATACCACACTGAACACGAAGAGTAAAAAAGTCTAACTAGCTTTTGAAGACAGTATTTCGATTATATATTTTAGAATCAAAGAATAGTAAATATCTGTTGAACTCAATGAATAGGTTTGTCTTTGCATTGGTATGGGTTAACAATTGTACAGCTACTTTCAATGGATTCTAGGATTGAGCAATTGGATACATATAATGGTGTGCAATTAGAGGTATCAGTATGAACTCATAATTTTTCATCTCTTGAGAGAGAGAGAGAGAGATCTATTGGTAAATAGGCAGCATTGTGCAAAGAACAAATCTAACAAAATCTTCACTTTGAGTTTTTTTGGGATTTGCTCTGGTGTCTCTTTAGCTTCTTAACCTGCAATGCTGTTCTTCTCTGTGTCTCTTTCTCTCAGGGATCACAGCCCTTCAAATCTTTCAAGTTTATGTGCCCCTGAACTAAATCTATCTGGGTCCGTACCCTATCTCTATCACTTACTATGTGGCCTTGGGCAAATGTTTTCATCTTCCTAAGAATGTCTTTTTTTCTTATTCATGAAACGGGGACAGTAATAATGACTATCTCATAAGATTATTGTGAGGCATAACTGTAGTAACGCACATAACATCAAATGTAAATTATTTGTATAGCTCTTAAAGTATAATTAGTAGAATGTACCCGAGATTATTGTGGCTGTCATTGCTCTGTCTTTGAGATATATCGACCTCAATCCAAATAAGGATATATATTGAGGTCAATATGTGTCAAAGACAGAGCAATGACAGCTGCAATAGGATCTTGACAGAGATGGATCCATAAGGGCACAAAAGAGATATACATTCTTATGATGCCGACTTATGAAAAATTCATGTGGTTTTACTTTGCACTGAATGCTATTATACTTTTGAAATCAGTCATTGAGTAACCAAGTTTCAAATTGTGTTTTTGCATAGCACTGATTTCAAGAACTAGAGAACTAGATATTTTATATCATATTATCGTCATGGCTCTTTTAAAGGTCATTCATAAACTAAACTTAGGAAAACACTTTAGGGAAAAAGGAATTTTGAAAAATGTGTTCTAGAGAACTCTGTCCCAAGCCTGCTGTTGATAGGGACAGGAGGCAGAGAAATTCTAGACAGAAAACTGTGGGGTCCGTGGTGAGAGCCACACCCTCAGGTCTGCAACCAAAGCCCAAAGTGAGAATTTTACATCCCAGTTTTCCTGCTTATATGTTGTCTTTTGCAAACCCACCTGGCCTGCCTTGCCCTCAATCCTGTACCAATAAAAACCCCAGGCTCCACTGGCAGACAGCAGAAAAGGGGAGAAGAGAAGAGGCAGCTGAACATCAGACAGAAGCAGCTTTCCTTCAGAGGGACAGTTTGAAGGTGGTACTTCCAGGGAAGAATACCTTCCCATTCCATCCCTTTTCTAGCTCCCCTTCCCGCCTAATGCCACTTCCATCGGCAATAAAATCCTTCACATTTACTATCCTTAAATTTGTTCATGTGACCTGATTTTTCCTGGACGCTGGACAAGAGCTTAGGATACAGAAAGCTGTCACACTGACCCACTGCCCTCGTGAAATGACAGAAGGTCCACTGAGCCCTTAAACACTTAATGTATCCATGGATGGCAAAGTTAAGAGTGCTGCCTGTAACCCATGCCCTCTGGGGCTTTGGGGGTTGCAGGTACACCCCCATACACACTGCCAAGGGTCCTGCACAGAGTTTTGCTTATTTCGGTGCCCAAAAGTGCTCACTCTGGCTCCCTCACCCACTCACCTGCATGCTCCCCCTCCCACGAGGGATTGAGAGCTGTGGGCTGAGTAAGTGAGGCATACCTGTCACAAGGCCCACGAAGGGGTCAAGGGTAATTTCTTGCTTCGATATTATTTTATATTATTAGTTAACTAGAATAACAAGAAAATAAAGTTCAAAATGGCCTTAAAGAAGAAACCAAAGCTGATAAAGACACCAGTGCAGCATTTTTCTTTTCCTACATTCCTTCAGTGATGGAGTTCATAGAAAGTTGGAAGGGAATGTAAACAATTACTAAAGGGTTTGCAAAGTAACACAAAATTCAAACACAGTGCATAAAATTAATCTTTAATGAAAAGATGTTGACTATGTAAAACTAAGAATCTTATTGTAGCCAGGAAAGAAATCAGATTATTGTAAATACCTTGCCATTCTTTCCCTGAGAATTTTCTAAAAAATTAATCCCTCAGAAAGAATATGCTATTTTTACAAGATATTCACAGGTGATTATTGAAATATTGGAAACAGTAAATTGGAAATAAACTCAATGTTAAATCATAGAAAAGTAAGCAAATAGCATATCTGTATTAGAATATTAAATAAAACCTAAAACATTAATAAAAAGTCTGTGTAACCACTGTGGAATGTTTATTTATATTATGTGAACAGAAGCAGAATATAATATTGTATCTCTTCCATAAACAAAATATATAAAATTGTGTATTCAATTTGTCATGGAGTTGCAGAAGTTTGGTTTCTTTAAGCATAAAAATAAAAATAACTTAGTTTGCAATCTGGGTATTTTTTATTTTGTTTTGATTCTGTTTTTGTGATGCTATTATTATAGTTTAACAGCTTGAAGTATTAAAATCCTAAGACTATATAATGATTATGGAGAGATGATGGGATAAAAGCTAACTGTAGTAAACACGTCCTCAGATTACAGCCAATTACTTTCTGATATCAGCATGTCAGTGAGTACCAAGGCCTAAGTAATCTATAAAGGTAATTTTAATACTTAAAGTTTTCATCTCTTAATTTAAATATTAAATCTAATCAATGATATAAGTTGAAAGCTTGTTTAAGTGATGTTAAGCAACTTATGTTATTAAATTAAAATACTCTTGAAGAATTGACTCTCAGCCACTATAATTAGGTGTAAGTCTTTTGCATTTTCTATTAAATTCCTTTATCATCATACCTGCAGATTTTACCTCTCACAGAATTGGAAAAATGTACACTGAATTTAAATTCTACTACAAAAAAATTATCATTTTAAGCCCCTTATTCAATTAGAAATTTGGTTATTATGAGTTTCACACCAAGTTCCCATGAATGTAGTGAGGCACTGTTCATCTTTCCCAGTGGTATGTAAAGCCTAAGTAGTCTCATTATTCTCATCTTCAGAAACCAAGGTTCAAGTAGGATTCTTCAGCATTAACCATCTGAAAAGAGGCCTCCATACAAAACACACAGTCATGCTCTCACTTTAGAGAAAATCCAGTTCATTAATCTGCGTAGAATAGCCTAGCAGAATTGAGGCAAAATAATCCAAAAAGCTAAGATCATTATGCCTGCTTCGGGTCTTTAACATAATTTGCTTAATAAAAACTTGTTTTACATTGTTTACTGAAAATAAATTAAGGTAATTTAAGTGCCAAACTCAGTACCTGATAAATGACTTGAATCCTAGCTCTAAATAAATAAAACAAGTGTTCAGAATCTTAGAAAATGAAAGGTTCCATAAGGACTGACAAATGTTTTAATAACACATGAATTTTTATGTCATTGGTGATATAACTGGAAACCCAATAGTGTATTAAATATGAACAACATATAGAAATATCATAGTTTATCATTTCAATTTTTTTATTTCTGCATACCCAAACAAACATAGGAAATTTTAGATTGAAAAGATCTCATTCATTATTCAAACCTTATTTAAAGTAACTGCTCAAACCAAGAAAAGGAATTTTCATGTCTTTCCCACACAGTGGTAGAGAAATGATAACTTGGAATCATTTATCATTTAGGTTGCTTTTCAGGAACAATGGAACTCAAAGGCAGGAGCTGAGGTAGCCAAGCATCTCAAATGTTAAGAGACTCACAACACACTGAGCCATTTGATATTTTGCTGTTCCCCCTCATAAAGCATTCT